>NW_025791814.1:0-170129 GCF_000001405.40 Homo sapiens
ATGCTTCTAAGAAGATGAAAATAATCTGTCCTTATTATATATATACATTTCCATAAATTATAGAACCACATGTCTGTATTTTAATTCAGCCAGGCTGAAGTTTTCCCCAAGATCTAATATACGAAGCTGTAGATCTAATTCTTCTGAAGTTCCTTCAAAATTTATTTCCCAGCTCAATATATTTCATGTAGATATTTTTGCTTAGGTTGGCAGATGCAAGGCTTGAATACTTGTATATTACCAGTGGAGAAAATCAGACACTGAGCAATGGAACAACTTCGCCAAGGTCATACAGAAAATGATTTCTCACATCTAGGATCCAAGTTCTAAGCTTCTGGTTCAGAACCCCATTGGTCACGTAAGAGTGTTTGGCTAACCTGAGAAAAGTCGAATGATGGGGCACGTTGAAGCTATTGACATACATGTGTAAAAGTAAACCACAGCCAAGCGGGCCTGAAAAGGAGGTGGAAAGGGAGAGAGTATCACTGTGTCAAGCAGCACGTCTCAAACCTGACTGCTCATCGGAACCACAGGAAAAGGTTGAAAGATTGCTCATTGACTGTCCTTGTCCCTGGATATGCTATGAAGAGGTCCAGGTAGTCTTTGGCGTTCTTGATCTGGTAACTGGTCTTATTGGGGTAGTACTGTCCCACGAGGATGAATGGGAGGAGATGTCGTCCCAGGGCCCATCTGTGGGAGAGGATGCAATGTGTGTTCAGGCTGGGGTGCCTCTTGACAGCTAGCATGCTTGCATTTGAGACCTGGTGGGTTGCACACTCAGACCTGTCTTGTGTCACTGGCGAGCACCGATTTCCCAGGGCAGCTTGACCCTCCCTTTGTAGCAATACTGAACGTTCATTTTGTGTTCTCTATAACAGGACAACTCCACGACTCATTAACAGGAGATAGTTATTTTGCTAAAGATATCCTGGGGAAATAAGTAGGATGAAATTGCATACCACAAGGCCTTGAGAAAAATCCCCCTTAAGGTAATTCTATCCTTTCCCTGAAATTTCTCTGTGTGCTTGTGATGGCATCTGTGTTCGTTTCCTGTGGCTACCAGAATCAAGTACCAAGACTGCGTGGCTTAAGCAACCAAAATGTATCCCCTGGCAGTTCTGGAGGCTGAAAGTGTGAGGTCAAGGGGCAGCACGGTTGGTTCCTCTGAGACCTCTCTCCTTTGCTTGTAGATGCCATCTTCTCCCTGTATCCTCACAGCGTTGTCCCTCTGCGAGTGCCTGTGCCCTAATCTATTCTTCTTATAAGGACACCAGTCTATTGGATTCGGGCCCACCCTAGTGACCTTGTTTTAACTTAATCACCTCTTTAAAGACCTTTTCTCCAAATAAGGTCACATTTTGAGATATTGAGGGTTAGGACTTGAATGTATGAATTCTGGAGGAAGGCAATCAGCTCAGACCATAACCCATTCTCCCCAATAGTCTTCATAGTCCCTTGGTTGGTCCCAAAGAATTGCTGAGTCTACCCAGCAAAGCCTCAGCCCAGCCCTGCACCTCCAATCCTGCCCCTCTACTTGGAGCCTCAGCACTAATTGCTGTGCTGCCAACCTCAGGCTGCTGCAGCCCTTGATGTGTCTTTGTGTTGTTAGAAAATGCAGGTCTGCTCCAGAGCCAGCCAGCAGAGCACAGGCTGATTCTCCACATGCCCTCTGCACAGCCTGGAGGACCACAGCAGGGACCCCATGGAGGCTCACACTGGGAGACCCCTTCTACACCTCCAGGCTGTGGGGGTCCAGCCCCCAACAGGGCAGGAGGCCCCTGGGGAGGGTGTGGTTTTTGCCCCTGAGAAATCACAGGTGTCTCCTAGTATAGATAAGCAAGCACCCTTCTTCCAATCTGTCAATCTGTCCTACATCGCAGATGACACTATGGCTCCAGTTCCTCACCCTGCCCTCCTCCTCCTTCTCTCCCACTACTAACCACCTGGGCAACCCTAAAGGCATCCCACGTGGGCCTTCCCAAGCGTGGCATTGGGGGCAAGGAGGAGGAGGGGAGTGAGAGAAGGAGGATGCTGTCTTCATTAGTTTGCAAATGATTTGTGTGGTCAGGATATGTAAATAAATAATTTATATACATATAAAAGAAACGAATATAACACACATATTTTATATAATATATATAATGTTCATTTCTGTCGCTCTGTGAAATATAGGTTATTTTATAATAACTCATGTATGAGACTCTGTCTTGCTGGCTGGTGTTCCCACGCTGTGGGCGAGGGTGCTGACCAGCTGGTGCTCCTGGCCAAGGCCTCTGAGGGCAGCCTGTGCTCGCCGGTGCCCATTTGGGGGCGCATGGCCTTCTGCTTGCTGTCCAAGGTGGACCTGAGGATGTGGTCGCATCGGTGACCTGGGCATGTAAGGAGGGCAGTCCAGGTCAGAGGGCGTGGGGCTGCTGAGCTGAGGAGAGAGGGTTGATGGGCTGGAGTCTGGTGGCCTGCTCTGCACAGGGAGATGAGGGGTGCTGGGGACGGGTGGCAAGACGCTTCAATCTTCTCGCCAGACCCTCTCAGTCCTGTACCGGGACTGGCAGAGTAACAGATGTGAATGTGCCTTCAGTCTGCACAACGCTTTTTTGGGACAGTTGAGGGCCCACTCTGATGCCTTGAAGACTCTTCAGAGCCTCACGATGTTGGGACTGAACAAAGGATGGAACCTCTTCCCGGAAAAGCTGAACAGGACTAAGGCAAGGAGACCTTCAACCAGGCCAGGGCCAATGCCCAGGCTCCTTCCTGGCCCCACTGTGGTTGTGAGGAGGGCACATCAGCAAGGCTGCTGGAGCCGCTCGCCTCCTTTGTTGAGGTCGTGGGGACCCATTCCCATGTCCCAGTCCATCTACTCTTATCCTTCCAGCTCAGGGTACAAGCAGGGCGACAGATATGGGATAGGGGAGAGACAGCAGAGATATTAAAGTCCTTGGGCTGAGTTTTGTGTTATAAAGGGCAAGGGAAACACAGCTCCTGGGAAAACCTGAAAGTGCGTGAGCGGGCACGCAGGTATTTTCAGAGCTCCTCTTCCCTTAGAAAAACAATCCTTCCCATTGACATTTGAAAGGTATTTTACATGCATGTAAATCTTGCACTCATTGAAAAACGCACAATGGCATCCCTGTGATGATCTTTGAAACTTTAGCTTTTACTTTTTACTTTTTTTTTTTTTTTAAAAGAGACAGGGTCTCGTTCTGCTGCCCAGGCTGGAGTGTATTACTTTTTAAAGAAATCGAGCATTTCCTTCCATCCTGGCGGAATTTGGAGCAGCGACCTAACGTGCCGTTCTCTTTTGCACCACTAGGTGGCCCCTGGTGCTCTCAGATGTCGGCCAGGCTTGCAGACAGGTGAATGCATCTCATTGGCTCCAGGGAGGCATGATGCCACCGGGCAGCTCTTTTTAAGAGAAAAGCCAGAACCGGTGGAGCAGCGACCCCTGAGCAGTGTTCTCTGTGCTGAGCGGCGGGACTGAGCTGTTGAGTTAGAGCCAACATGAGTGAGGTGAGTGATGCTTCGACCTGGAGAGGGAAACTTAGGAGTGAGAAGGGACCTCGGCTGAAGGATTAGTCTCAGGAAATGTGAGGGACTTAGCAGTGCTGAGGAACAAATTAATCCTGTAATTATTTGCTTGGAGAACTGACAGGATTAATCTCTTGGTTTGAATGGTAAGTGCAGAAATTGGTTAAGTTTGCAACTTCTACAATTAGCCTGAGGAGGAGAAAGGTTTGCTTTCTGATTGAATGGTGACTTTGAAAAGTGCTTTGGGTTTTAGAGCTCAGAAGAGAAAGCCAAATGTTTTATTCTCTTACGAAGATGCGTGTCTTTGCATGATTCCCGCGGTGATACCTTTCAGAATGTGAGTGGGCAGGTGGTCATCTGGTGAATGCAAGCCATGGAAGGGAAGGGGACAAGGTGGGGAAAGGGCTGGCCGTTGGGTGGCATTTCATGGCTCAGTTGTACAAACTACCTCTGCAGTTAATCAGAGCACCAGGGAAAGAAATGCAAAAAGTAGTAGGAACTGGGAAACATCCGTGTGTATAGATCTGTGGCTCTAAGACCGGAGGCGGCCCCGGCAGAAGAAGAGCTACAATTTTGCAAATCCAAAGTCACTTCTCTAAACTTGTTTATACAGAATGTGTTTTACTGGGGCCAACTGACAGCACGTTTGTTTTTCTAAAATCATCTTCTCCTTTTTTCTCATCTATGAAGCAGATTAGCGGTGGTACAACACCATTCTCTAATTCAACTCAATAACCGAGCCAAATGCATCTTCATTTCCTCTTGGTTGGCACTTAAATAATTACTTTTAAAGATCTTTTATCTTCTCTGTCTCTTTTTGACAGATGGATGATTCTTTTCTTGGAAGTCTAGGATAAAATTAACAACTTCAGAAATAAAATGCCTCCTCCCTGCTTTTATCTCTCTGATGGGTGATTTTTGATGTAAACATGACAAGAAGAAGAGCAAAGCACTATAAAACTTAGAAATGGGGTTTAGGACAAAGCCAGGGGTTTGAGGCAGGGAGAGACCAACTGTGGGGTGGAAGATGGGAATTCTCCCACCACCACAATCAATGGTACCTGTAACAGCAGCTAACACTTGCCTAATGGTCTGTGTGCCGACAGTGTCAGGCTGTCTCTGCATCTGTCACCTTCTTTGAACCTCTCAACAACTCCGTGCAGTGGGCACCATTATTATTCCCAATTGACAGATGAGGACACTGAGGCACAGAGATGGGAACTAAGTGGTTTGAGGTCACCAGCTAAAGAACAGTAGAGCCAAGACTTGGGCTGCAATGCTGGGTGGTTGACTGCCGGGTGAATCTTGATGTCTAAATGTGTATGGAATTTGCTGAACAGAGGGGATGGCAGAGGTTGGAGGAGGAGAGGGGAGGTGAAGAGAAAGAAAGAAAGGAGCTGGGGCTCTGAAATAGAGATGGAATGATGAGGATGAGACCTCCATTTCCCACATGCTAGGAGGAGGGGCTTTCTGCTGGACTCTACAGATATTTCAGAAGCTTCTGTGTCCACATCAGCTCACCTTGCTTGCAACAAGAAGGGATGGCTGCGTGGAGTGGTTTTTCTTTATATACAACTTATCCAATAAGAGTTTCCTATAGAAGAAGGACTTAGAAAGCAGCACAGCACTGAGGGGTGGCCTCTCGGGTCAAGTCAGCTACCCTGGGATTCTGGCTCAGTCATGCCGTCACTTGCTGAGGCTTCTGGCCAGCAAGGTGCTCATGAGCTCTCCAGGATGCTCAGCTCTGCTGGGCTCACTCAACTGTGCGGGTCTCCAGGGAGAAAGCGCGTGTTCCAGAGCTCACCTGTGATTAGGGTCACAGCCTGGTTCCTGCTGAACGGGTAATCAGGGCAGCTCTGTAGTCACCGCCCCGCCATGGCGCTTATCAGACACATTTGCAGGTTCTTGCAGGAGCTCTTGCCTTAGTTCCTTTAATGTGGATAAAAGCACACAAGGGGCACATCCCACTTTTCTGCCTCCCCTTGCTGCTCACAAAACCCCTCCCAGCTCTCTGCTCCTCATCCTCCCTCCTGCCCTCTTCTCCCCCTCACATCACATGAGGCCTCCTCCCTCTGACCATCAGCATGGCCACCGCTCCTGGCTGATCTCCAAGTTCCTGGGCATGTGCTCCTTGGAGAGCAGGAATTTGTCCTTTGACTAAACCTCAAATCTGCTTAAAATCTTTAGTAAAGTGCAACAGAAGCTCCTTTCTGGGTAGAGAACTCGATTCCCCCTTCATGGCACCCCTCAAGGGGTTTCTTTGGTTGGATGAATTAAATGTGGCTCCTAGTTTTAATAACTCTCAGGCAGAAATGGCTTTCAGATCATCATTTACTTGCATGTGTGACTAATTACCAAAGAAAGCCAGAGCAATGGATTTTGCCAGACTTTCCTTGACCTTAGGATTGATTGGGGTCTGGTGGGCCAATAGTGCCTGCTGCAGTGCCAGGGCTGAGTGCCTGCTGCAGAGGCTCCGGAGCTCATTAGCTGCTTACCCAGGCCAGTGGGCAAGCCTGCTGGCTGGAGAGGACCCCAAAGTGTCATATACTCCCCGGGGCCTGCTCTGCACTTCCAGGCCTCCCCGCCTTTAAGGGAAAGGTGGAGTGGCAAAGGGAGCCTCGAACTGGCTTTAAACTGGGCAGCTTTACAACAAGACGTCTTCTTTATTTCCTGTAACAACACTTTTTAGGGGAAATGACATGTGATAGAAAAGAACAGCTCAGGAAAGTAAAGTACAGCGAGGAAAGTAAAGTCCAAATTTAGGGTAATGTGAGAGAGAGGAGGTGGTTTGTGGGGGTGTCTGATTTACATTTTGGTATTAAAATATGTCAGATGTGCCTGGAGCAATCTATGAGATGAATTGGAAGAGAATGTAGCAGGGATCAGAATGCAGGCTTAAGTCTATCAGCTGGATCAGAAATCTTAACCATCACAGCCTCAGTTTACAAGGTGCATTCTTTCTCCCTCATCGTACTCACCCAGGCACAAGAAAAATGACTACCTTTGTTCAGCCACTTCATAGAGCTTTTGAAAAAAGAGTTCCTGGAATAATGACAGTCAGTCCCACGTTCTCCTTTAGGTGTCTATTTTTAAGTTGCTTTTCAAAAGAACTCATTTAGGAGAGCTAGGGGCAAGGTTGGAAGGCATAAGGACAAACATCTGAGCGTGAATTTAAAAACGTGACGCCCTTGCCCTGTTTAGGGTGCGGGTTGGAGACGTTCCAGGTCACGTAATCAAATGACAGCTATTAATTGGACTTGAGACCCCTTTGGGAAAAGCCTCTTCGTAACCCCGAGTTTCACGGTCATGGGCTGGGCTTTTTTCTTGCTTTGGCGTGGATGGGAAAGTGCAACTCAGTACAAGGGCTGTGGCTCTTTCTTTCGTCTAGACATTGGCCGCAGGGCAAGGCGATGCCCATCAAAGGCATGGTTTGAAAAACATCAAGGACATTTAAGGGTAAATCTTTAGATACACATGTCTGTTCTTAGCACCCAAACAGAATCCATGTCGAACTTAATGTATACGTTAAAACGTACAATAATCTCTAAAGGAAGAAGAAAGCTGTAAATGGCATTTTTCTTGACAGAGATTGCAAACGGGAGGCTACATGCAGTTAACTCGTGAGGTGAGGACATAGAAAAAACATGAATTAAAAAAATGTTTTGCCACTGATTTTAAAATATCATACATACAACAGTGGTTTGGGGCTTACATAGTTGACTCTCACGATTGCCCAGTGGAGGGACTAAGGTTAAAACGAAACAGATCCTAAGAAGAGAAAGATTATGGCTTTGAGCTTCTTACAACGTAAGGGTAAACTCAAACAGATGCTAATGGGTGGCTGATTAGATTTGTAAGGAGCTGTATATTTTAGACCAGTTGTTAAGCACAGATTCTGAGGGTGACTGCATAAAATGTGGGTTTTGCAAATGGTCTGCAAAACCCAGCAACAAAGGTCAAATGACAATTCAACTTCTTATGTAATTATAACCCCATTTGAGGGTGTACCTGCAGCAAGGACTCTGACAGATCAAGCAAGATCAGTTTTAGTTTCGTTGGACAACACCATGAAAGATACTCTTTCCTCTAATTGGGGATATTAAGTCCACATAGTCACCAGTTACAATCTGGGTTTGAAGTTCAACTTTTCCTAATAGAGAAGAGGTCAAAATTAAGCAGGAATATGTGTTTCCCAGGGCCGATGATTGTTAAGAGTTGCCATAAAACTTGTTTCCCCAGTCATGCATTCTATGAAGAAATGCTGTGGGGTTAAAAAGTCTCAGGTTTTCTCTTTTGAATTTTAAGAATGACACAATGCAAGATGTATATTTTTTTTTCAAAAAGAAAATAAATGACTCATTATTGATTTTATTAAAGGTTTAGTGAAGTAGTACGATCAAGATGAAAAGAAAACATGTTTTTGTAATGGAAAGTTTCTTAAACTTATGATGAGCACATTCTTTGTGTTATTTATTTACTTATTTATTTGAGATGGAGTCTCTCTCTCTTGCCCAGGCTGGAGTGCAGTAGCGCGATCTTGGCTCACTGCAACCTCTGCCTCCCAGGTTCAAGCAATTCTCCTGTCTCAGCCTCCTGAGTAGCTGGGACTATAGGCTCCTACCACCACGCCCAGCTAATTTTTGTAGTTTTAGTAGAGACAGGGCTTCACCATATTGGTCTGACTGGTCTCGAACTCCTGACCTCAGGTGATCCGCCCGCCTTGGCCTCCCAAAGTGCTGGGATTACAGGTGTGAGCCACCGCACCCAACCTGCGTTATTTTTTAAAATTCTAATTTCTACTCTCAGTGTTTCATTAGAGATGTGATCGGGGGAAGGCATTCACAATTTGTCTATGGTCCTTCTGTTCTTAGACCACTGGACACATTGAACTATTTGGACGCACAGATAATATCAGGACCTAAGCCTGGGGCTTTTCATTAATTTAAAATGACTTTCTAGAAAGGTCTTCATACTGGGAGAAAAGAAGAATTTTAGGGGATGCATGCATACAGGTTTATGTTATATTTAATGATATTTTTATGAAACACAACATTAAATATCCTGCTGTTAAAGTATTATAGGCTGCATAGTATTGATTAGAAGCATCCCAGACTGTGAACTTCCCAAAAGGGACAATTTTATGTCATTCACAAGTCTGACTGCTGGTTGGGCACTTGGTAAATGTCCAGTTACTGAATGAATAAATAAGTTTTGGGATGTGGATTTATCAGTTGCTGTAATCAATAGGCCAGGCACCCTCTTCTCTAAATGTTGAGGCTTGTGGTTGGGATACATTTGGGAAAGTTGTATTCCATCTTTTGTTCTTTACTCCTGGTTTGAAACCTGTGTTTGCCATGTAAATCCTTTTATGTGGGAAATGGGTGCATTGTTATATACGCAACATAAGTGCTCTCATGACAGTAAAAGAAAATGAGAAAAAATAAGAAGGATCTCAACAGAAGGACCTCTTGACATTTGGGAAAATGTCAGGGAAAATATGGGAACGGAGCAAGGGACGTAGAATTCTAATATCCTATGTTTCCCTGTTGTCTCCATTGAGACTAGCTCACTTCAGATAAGCTCAATGAAACTCAAGCAAAAGAGACTGTAGCCAGAGAGGCAGAGCCTGTGAATACCTTGGAAAGTGGTTTGCTGTATTGAAACAGAAAACCAATTTGACTGTGATTAGAAGAGAATAAGAGAGAGTCTAAGCAGATCTGTAGTAATATAGCCCCAGTGCCCAATCTCCATCAGCCCAGTTGTAAACTCTGGCATATTGTTGAAGGTAAACATCTAGCACGCGGAAAGCAAGTTCCATATTATTGCAAGGAAATAATTTAATTATCATCTAAAATTAATTCTTAATAGCATACTCATAATATTAATTAAAATAAATAATTGATATTTGAATATTTAAATATTTTAGTAAATTTATATTTGAAATAGGAATATATGAAAATTTATATGCAAAAAGGGATGGATTCAAATTTCTTTTCTTGGGGAGTTCGAAACTGAATTGCACGTCCATATCCCCATGTGATTAATCTGATAGGAGCTCTGCTTTCCTATCATCCCCAGGGATGAACTATTTACCATTCTTCTTCCCATTTTTCAAATGAGGTGCAATGTGAACAATGAATACAGAAACGTTTTCCAGTCACCTGGCACAAGGGCCTTTGGGGTATAGATATGGGAATGTTCGATAATGGATTGTTTTGTGCCACAAACAAAGCAAGCTTGCCACAGTCATCAATGGCTCAAACCTATAAATGCCACATTCATGTTGGGGCCATTCTACATGAACAATTTAGCATAAGCCACACATTCCAGGCATGGGTCTGCTTGTATATTGTTTATGCCTCACAAAGAGCTCTGAATTTATGCTTCAGAATCTCACTGAATTTACTGCTCATTCCATTTCTGGAAGGGAAACACTTGGCCCATATTTATGACATTGCCAGTAGAAAAATCAATCACCCACTAAATGCCATTATTTTATATTTTACTCTTAACCTGCCATTTTATAAATGAAAGGAAGACAAATTAGACTCATAAAGCAGGAAGGTAATCATCCACAAATTGAACATTTAAGGGCAAGGAAGCAAAAGCTGTGAACTGTTCCAACCATTCAAATAAGGCAATTTTCCTCACAAAGGAGCTAGAATAGAGAGCAGGGGAGTCCCTCTCTTCAAGGTTTCTGCCCTCCATTTTAGGACAGTCTTGGACTTGGATGAGACTAAAACGTCTCCAGCCATACACGAGTCAGACCTCTTCCTCGTAGTTCAAAAGACAACTTTTGAATGTTAAATATTATTTACGACGGTTTGATAGCAAAATGGGATCCAGATTGGCTTGAGATCACGCTATTCCTGGTATAACAATCCAAGTCTGTGGTATAGTGGCATGACAAAAGACACAGTCATCTGTTCCCGTAGCACCACATCTGTGCTTTGGTCAATAATCGAATGAAGTAATGGTTATTTTAATTTTATATGACCTCTGAGAAAAGGACTCCAGAAGTTAACAAGACCCATTAACATGTGTCTTAATCAAATAAGAGTAAAAATATAACAAGGAAACACAGAAACACAAGAGGGAGAAATAATATAATTTCTTCCTTTTTTTTCAAGATCTTTTTTTTTTTTCTAAAAAACAATACAAGCATCTGTTCATCAGGTGGTTAAGTTCTAGTATTTTAAAAAAAAACCTAGTTAAAAGGTTACACCTGCTTTAAAATTTATGATTCTTATGTACAGTAGCTCCCCCTTATCTTCAGATGCCCGGTGAATGGCTGAAAGTGTGGGTGGTACCGAATCCTACACATGCTATGCTTTTTCCATCCGATAATACCTGAAAGTGCTGCTAAGTGGCTACGGGCAGGTAGTGTAGACAGTGTGGATACGCTGGGCAGATGAATGATTCATGTTCTTAGACAGCAAGCGGTTTCATAACGCTACTCAGTAGAGTGTGCAATTTGCAACTTATGAATTGTTTATTTCTGGGATTTTCCATTGAATATTTTTGGACTGTGGTTAGCAGCAGGTAACTCAAACCTCAGAAAGTGAAACCAAGGAAGGTTAAGGGGGAACTACTGTGTGCAATTTCTTTATTAAATAATAGCCACTGTTTCGTTAGGAGTTGTTAGAGAAATATCACTTTTTTTTTTCTTGTACCCAGCAAAATGACTAATTGTATTTAGGGTTTTCTTTTTCAAATTGTAAATTTTCTCACAGTTTTTTTTTTGTTATGCAGAGAAATCTCTGATGCAATGAATGGGTCAAATTTTGAGCTGAGTGTGGCTGTGTGACAGCATCCTGGGTGCTGGTCTCCTCATCTCTGAGGGGTGACAGCATACACACAGACACTGGTGCTGCCACAAGTCTGCCCATGTCCAAGACGGGCGATGGTGTGGAGCCTTCCTTTACAGATCATAACTCTGCATCTTCCAGAGAGTTTTAGGTGGAAATAGCAACAAGCAAAACTTCAAACCATTATGCCATAGTGAGATCTTCTCCTTAAAACAATAAGGGTGACTTGACGTGATTTTATCCTCTTGCCTTCTATGACTTTCCACAATTGTGGTTGCTCTAACAACAACTGTCTGTTTTAGCATATCAATGTTTTGGGAACTATCTTTTCAATCTTCCTGCAGATCCATAACAGAACTATGGAATAGTGTCCACAATGACTAAGGATATCAATACTCCCAAGTTTTTGATAGTGTACCTTAATAGGGAAAAAATTTGACCATGTATACACAACAAATTTTTATTTATTTTACAATTATGTATACATGCGAATATGCCAATATAGTAAGAGTTAATCATTAAAGGAAGGGTAAGGAAATCTGTAATTCCAATAGACTTTTTGGTAACTGTACTTCTTTTTGAGTCTAATTTGATGGCTGAGGTTTTTAAGCTTGTATTGGTGCCCATGAAGACATCCTAAGAAAAGAAGGTTTAGTTAGTGCTTCTATCGTTTCCTTGGTGTTTGTGCTGATGGTGTTAGTATTATTTTCAGTCTATGATTTAATGCAGAATTTTTCAATTAAATCTGAATATATATTTAATTGAAATATATATTAAATATATAGTAAATAATATATATATGATTTACTATTTTAACCACTTTTAAGTGTACAGTTCAGCGGTATTAATTACATTTACACTGTCGTGAAACGGGTCCACAGAACTTGTTCATCTTTCAAAGCCAAGACTCTGCACCCATTCAACAACCACTCTCCATTACCCCGCCCCTATCCTCTGGCAAACCCATTCTATTTCTTACCTCTATCAGTTTGACTACTTTTGGTACCTCCTGTGCGTGGAATCATACAGTATTTGTCTTTTTGTGACTGGCTTATTTTACTTAGCATAATGTCTTCAAGGTTCATCTATGTTGTGGCCTGTGACTATATAGGACATTTTAAAAGCCACTTACCTACTGTGGGAAGATTAGTTTAGTTAAAGGTAGATTGTATAATCTGTAAATCCTCTTAATGGAACATAAGGAACTGCAAGGTATCACATGATGATATTCTGAGAGCAAGTCAACAGGCAGTGTGTCTGGGACAATCTCCCATTGTGGGACTCCTACTCTTTCCTACCCACCAAGTGATGATGTCATTATCAATCCAGATATTAGCTATGAATGAAACCTAATTTTTAAATTGATCTTAGATCCTACACAAATATAAATAGAAATTCTAAAGTCTTCTTTACCATGAGTGTTTGTGGCAGTGAAGCACCTTACAACCCCAGAGGTGCCGTTGACACTGTGGTCTGTGCCAACAGCACTGCCTGGAGTTGTGCTGTGAACAACCTATGCCACTGAACATGGTGGCTCTGCCCTTCCTTGAGTTGATGTCAGCCTGCTTAAGGACGGTTGACCTTGAGAAAGGCTGTCGTTTTTATAGTTCCACTTAGAATTCAGGGAATCAGAGAAGGGCATCGTTGTCATTTCATTCAAAGTGGTCATTTTAAAATAGGGGACTGAGTGTCCAACGATGAATCTTGTGCAGAATCACAGAGCTTCTTCAGAGAAAACCTAAGTTTCCTTTCCACATTTTCCATGCTATTACATTTCTCATTTTCTGGATACAACCTAATTTCTTTTAAACCTGTCCAAATTCCACTTAGGGTTTGCACAAGTAATTTATTAAATTAAAATTGTCCTGAATATTTTTATTAGCCTTGAGTAAAAAAAGAACAGCCACAGAAATCTTGACAAAGCCATTGTTTTGTTCATCAGGTCTTCCACTCTATTTCTAGGGATTCCAGCTTCCACCCTGACACCCCCAGCCTCCCATCCCGTCACACACAGAGAAGCTGAGAAATGTTAATAATGCTTCCCTGTGGAATGTTTCATTAAGACCCTTGTTGGGCATGGTGGCTCACTCCTGTAATCCCAGCACTTTGGGAGACCCAGGTGGGAGGATTGGTTAAGCCCAGGAGTTAGAGACCAGCCTGGGCAACATGGCGAAACCCCGTCTCTACCAAAAATTAAAAAAAAAAAAAAAATTAGCCGGGTGTGGTGGTGCATTCCTGTAGTCCCAGCTACTCAGGAGGCTGAGATGGGTGGATGGTTTGAGCCTGGGAGGTGGAGGTTGCAGTGAGCCATGATCATGCCACTGCACTCCAGCCTGGACAACAGAGCCAGATCCTGCCTCAAAACAAAAACAAATACAAAAACAAAACAAAACAATCAAAGAAACAAGACCCTTGTTGGCAAAGTTTTCTTTTGTTTTGCCTGGTAGTGTTCTTGACTTTGAGGTTATACCAATCACCTTTATGCCTTGCTTACTTCCTAGTGCTCTGTTTGAATGAGGAAGAGCATTCTGAACCCTAACATACACAATTTTTAGAAAACATTTGTCCAGAAAATGGTGGCCCTTTTTATGGCCAAAACCATTGCATATATAATCAGTCATCACAAATTTTGTAGTCACATTTCTTTTTTTCTTCTAGATTGTGACGAGAGAGAGAGAGAGATTATGTCTTCTATACCGTTTCATCTTCCCAGCACTATATCATTGAACTCCCATTGATGGAGAATCAATAAGACGTGGTCCTTACCCCTTAAAGAACTTGTAGGGGGAGACAGAATCACATAAAATTAACTCTACTCTGGTGTCCACGCAGAGCTACAGGCCTATTCTCTGTATAAAGCAAGTGCCAGGATGCATGGGTTAATTTGCCATTGCTCAGAGCTGGGAAGGAGAGGAAAGAAGATGCTAATGGGTAACCTTCCCAAAGCAGCCGGGGCTTACAGAAGTAGGGGCTCAGCACACATTGATTGAAGAATAGCACTACGATAGCACTCTGCGAATCTTAAAAGTCATACAATTTAGAGCCATGTGAGAATTTAGCAATCTTCAAGCTCATTGTATAGATACATGTCCATTATGATACTGTAGTTAATTCTGAACTCCTGCCTGGTGATAAAAATTGCTTTAAACATGTTGGACATTTTCTCATCCACATCAATGAATATTTGGGCTCTAGGGACTTGTTGCATCTTTCTTTAAAAGTGAAAAGTCTTCTGTATATTGGAAAGAGATTACATGAGGACAGTCAATTACATTTTTGAAAGTGCACACATTGGTTGGTTGTAAAATTTACATGATCCAATTGTGAGAACTGTGTACATGGATTTAGGTATGTCTGTTATTTCCCTTTGTGAGAGTATCTATCCGTGCTTGCTCATGGTAGAGTATCATTGCACTTTGTATCTCAGAGCTTCTAGTGGCTTCTTAACCATTATATTATTGTCTTTTCTTTGAAGTTTGCTCAGGGGATGGGCTCAACCCTGTATTTATAACTCTGCTCTCACATATGCTTAAGTCTTGTCAAAATATCTAGATAATACAGTGCCACACCTCAAATATTTCTGGAAATGTTCTATACCTCAGAAATGTGGGATATTTTACCTCTTCTTGAAGAAAATTTTCTTTTCTTTCCTTTTTCTTTTTTTTTTTTTGAGACTGAATTTTACTCTTTTTGCCCAGGGTGGAGTGCAATGGCGCTATCTTAGCTCACTGCAAAGTCCACCTCCTGGGTTCAAGTGATTCTCCTGCCTCAGCCTCCTGAGTAGCTGGGATTACAGGTGCGCACCACCATGACCAGCTAATTTTGTAATTTTAGTAGAGATGGGGTTTCACCATGTTGGCCGGGCTGGTCTCAAACTCCTGACCTCAAGTGATCTGCTTGCCTCGGCCTCCCAAAGAGCTGGGATTGTAGGCATTAAGCCACCAATCCTGGCCAAGAAAGTTTCTTAAAATAGATGTAGCAATTTGTCAAGCACCTCCACCAAATACCTCCTTCAAGTTCATAGTTATTTTTCATCCAGGTTCCTTCTTTGCCGTCTTTAAAAATGATTCATTTCATTTCTCAGGCACTATTCTATGAATTTCCATGTCATCACTTTTTTTCTGAGTTCTTGCTAGGAGCCAGAATTGGCTGAAATTCCTATGAGAGTTCCCCCACAGTTGCATTTTGGATGAGGATTTCGAATTTCACATGACAAAATATAAATGCCGCTAAATGTAACTCCAGAGGTACAAGCAGTGGCGTCGGAGGCCCCTTCTCTGGCTCCTTAATGCCCCCATTAGTATTACAACAAGGAAAAGAGACATGGGCTGAAGAGTCAGGCAGATACTGGCAGAAGTGAGTCCAGTTAAAAACACATCATGGTTCTGTAACCCGCCCTGCTGGCCCCCTCTGCCTTCAACCTCTTTTGAGGTAACGTAGCTCAGAGTTCAGACATCCATAAAAGCCTGTGACAGGGAGTAGGGCAGGACCAGTGACATAATTTGTGGCCCCAATGAAAAATCAATACGATGCCCCTTGTTAAACATTGATTAGAATTTGAAGATGGGGACAGCAACATATCAGACCAAGCCAGGGCCCTTCTGAGAGTGGTCCCCCTTGGACCGCATGGGTCACTCTCTCATGAGGCCAGTCCTGGGTCAAAATGAGAAGCATCCCAATTGCTTTTTAATGAACAAATTAAAAACAAAAGAGGCAGAGCTGAAGAAACATAATTCCATTATCTTTGCAATGTCTGGAGATATCTATATCTATCTATATCTATATCTATATCTGTATCTATATCTATATCTATATCTATATCTATATCTATATCTATATCTATATCTATATCTATCTATATCTATTCCCTGTCCAAGTGGAAGCTCTCAAAATGGCCCAAGCCTGACCATGGAGGTCAGTGGGTGGAGGGTCTTTCCCACAAATCCAAGGGAGCTTTCAAGTTGGTTTGGAGGAAGCCTCCCTAGCAGCATGCTTGAATAAGAAACTATTGTGTTCAAGCATCAGCTTGGCTGGTGCTGAGGACTCTTTTGATGATGAAGTAATAAAATGGATTCAAAATCACTTGGCATATGTATGTGCATGTACATCTGTGTGTGCGTGTGTGTGAGTGTGTGTGTGTGCATGCGTGTGAGTGTGTGTGTATACGTGTATATGTTTAAAGGCCATATAAATGCTAAACTCTGTGTGCAAATGTCCTCGAATTCTGATTCCAACTGTCTTTATCGAGTGCTGGTTGTTTATCCAGGTGAAAGCATCCGCTGGCCAGTTTTGTCCCACGTCTTTTTCTATCAAGTCTTTGGTCCTCACTTCTTCTTCCTGAGTATGTCCGGAGGGAACAGAATGCAGACGTACTAGGCTTTTCAGTTAAAGAAACATTTTTGTATGCTGGGCTTTGGAAATAAAGAGGTCTACCTTAGTAATTCCGGGATCAATATGTGCAGATAGGAAGTAATTTGGTGGTGTGACCTTTGGCCATTTGTAAGTGCCTTGTCCCTGGAAAACAATGTTTAAATTGGAATTGGGTTTGTTTTCCAGCCAATTAAATCCTTCTGGATTTCAGAGGAATTTGAAACAAAATATGGAACAAATATCTATTATGAAGGAGGCACAGCTGTTAGATGAGTTGGTTGTTCGTATTGGTGGTCGTGTGTGCATTTTATTTTTTTTTGTGGGAGAGTAGAATTTTCACTTCTGCGGGGAGCATCTGATCAAATGGCCCATATAACTTTTACCTGTCTGCTAATCTGAGTCTCAATCCACTTCTTGGGCTGTGACAGCTGATTTAGGACAAAACATTCCTTTTCTTCCAAAAGTATACAATCTTGGGCTTCTACTGTTTTCTGAAGCTATTTTTGTTCTAGTTGAATGTTGGGGGGAGAAACCTGGCTATTTGTTTATTATTATACCAAAAAAGAAAGTCTCCAGCTTCTGAAGCTTGGGGCACTCACTGTTAGAGAAACATGTTTGGCAGCACACAGGGCCAAATAAACTACACACCTGCATTTCATTACAACAGGTCATTGCGGGAACAGTGGCATTAGCCTCCATAGGAAAAGGGTTTGCATGGGGGTCTAGGAAGCCAGTTAAACACATGAAAAACACATTGAGACACCTGGACAGAGTGATTTATGAAGCAAGAACTGTTTTCATGGTGCCAGGGTCCTGTCCTCGCAGATGCATGAAACGTACATCTGCAGTTCTGACATCACAGCGGACACGGGACTCTGAGTGATGCATTACTGAGTTCCCTGACAATGTGAAATGCATTTGTCCCGTTTTTTCCTAAAATGGCCCACCTATTTTCAAATGCAGAGTCCTGTGCGATGTCATACATTTCCACAATGTTGCTTTAAAATAAGAGAGGGCAGGAAACGTGATTCCGACTCTGCACCCAGATGGACTGAGGCATAATATGTCTGCATCGTTGATGGCAGAAAGGGGGCGTCCAAGTCAGGTTTTCCGTCTTCCAAGCCAATCTTTCCCCTTCTAGACCGGAAAGATTAAATGGCAAGTAGAACACCAAGTCAATCTGCCCAGACTCAAATTCCATTCCCTGACCCCCTCACATAGCTGTAACATGCTTGGGCATAATCCTAAGCCTCTCTGTGTCTCAAGTTTTCTCTCCATCCAGTCGGGATAAAGGCAGTAGCCACCTTGTAGTAGGCTTGTTTCCATGAGAGTGTTTAGCTGCTCTTACTATGACTGAAAAAACATAGCTGCTTGCATTTGCAGACAGAGCCTTGTGACTTGGTGCAAAGAAAGGAAAACATCTTTGCCGAACTTGGAGGTCTCATCTATTCACTCAGCTCTAAATATGGGCTTCTCTTGAATAACCGCAGGTTTGGCCTGTGTGCTTTCTTTCTCACACCTTTTTGTTCACTTGATGAGGATGCCGAGTGCAGCGGTACATTACGCTTGGCTCAACCGTGGCAGAGCCAATGTGGCCATGGTGAGAGATCATTCAGGATGGATGACTGCTTAGGGACTGGCAGGGCAAGAGTCTCCCAGCTGTTGCGGCATTTCATCCTGTGGTCTTTGGTCATTCTTTGGCTTTTATCTGAGTACACCCGGCATGGCATTTTACCAGCTGTACTGGGGAGGACTGGGGGAATGGAAAGCTGGCATTACTGCTGAAAGCAAAGAAAAGATGTGTCTTTCTCTGTGGCCGGTTTTTGTAATCCGGGAAGACCCCATGTGGGTTTTCTGATCTCATGTCAGCTTCCCTAGTTGAAGTATAAAATTGCTAGAAGAACCACATCATCCTCGGAGGGACAGGCAGGCATCCTTAGTGTTCTTGAAATGATTACATCGTCAGTTTCATTTAGTTCTAGAAGACTGGCCCTGCCTGTTGGTTTTTCCCCTAATCGTCTGTGTAAGAAAGACTTACCCTTAAATGGGTGAGTTACAGGCAGGGCTCAGTTTCTGTCATTACACTGATCTTTCATTGACAGTTTTCCACCCTCTGTTACTCTTGGCATCGGGCTGGTCAGCCATAACTTCTAGGGATGGGGAGAGAAATCGAATCTCTTCTATTCTTCTCTGTACTGCTTCAATCTGGCAACTTCTACGTAGACTGTGAGAATATAACCTTGTAATAAACATTTGGGTCTCTTTGCCTTTGTCCGAGAGCCCACTGTTATTTTTTTTCTAATCACAGCAGCTGCTCTAGCTAGCATCTGGCTCATATACCAGCAGCCTTTATTCTGAGACTAATCTAAGGATTCAACACCAATTCAGGAAGGCAATCAAAGAAGTGGGTTGGATGGACAAGTATTTCCTTTGTGTACAGTTCAGATGCAGAAGGTGGTAGACACCTACATTGATGCATTGTCCTAGCATCCTACAGATCCATGGGGTTGCCAAGGGTGGCTTGGTGGGGTTGGGGGGTGCAGGTGAATTTGGCTGTAGCTGGCATAAATGGAGGTGCTTGCATGTTGATTCCTGGGCCCTTTGACCCAACCTCTGGTTTGGGGAGAGGCTGCTGATTAGAGCAGATGCACACACCTTGTAACAGGGCCACTGAGTTCTCCCAGTCTTCCATCCACATTTCTTCTTTGTCATCAGCGTTCCCTCCTCCTGTATTTTCCCTTTCTAGAAAAAAATATGAGCTGTGATTTGTACAAAACACACAAAATGCATCCGTTGGAATCAGAGATCCAGGAAACTTCAGCTGAAATTAACAACTTCGTAACACAGGTAGAGCCTACGTCCTTCATGAGAAAAATGACACAAATCTCAGTATTCTTTGTTTGGAGTCTCTTGACATCCATGTGAGGTACATATTTTCTGTATTCTATTTTATTTTAATTCACCATGAAAAAGAAACTGGTCAAATAAAGAAGCCAAGGCTTTGAGGAGCAGAATCATTTATTTGTGGTGATTCAGCCATATTTACTCCCAGTGTTTCAACTGTGAGCTCAATGCACTGTTTTCATTACTTTTACTATATTGCAAGTTGAATACAATGAAAAAAAAAGGAGAAACATCTCTTCTTAAGCCTGTTTTACCATTATTTTGCTCTCTGATTTTTCTTAGAAACCAAATCCATGCAATGTGAGTGTTTTTATCTCATTTAGTTCTCACACATTAATGAGGTGGGTATATTGTTATTCTCATGTAATAAAAACAGACACTGAGGCTCAGAGAAGTTAAGTGACCTGAACTGGGCCACACAGCTGCTGGGGACCAGGGCTGGGATTACCTGGGTAGTTGGATTCCAGCACACTTATTTTTGAGGTTAAGTTTATTAAGGTGTAATTTACATGTGGTAAAATCTACCCCTTTTAGTTGTATGTTCGATGAGTTTTGACATATGCAGTCTTTTTTTTTTTTCTTTTGAGAGATGGAATTTCTCTTTTGTTGCCCAGGCTGGAGTGCAATGGTGTGATCTTGGCTCACTGCAACCTCCGCCTCCCAGGTTCAAGCAATTCTCGTGCCTCAACCTCCCAAGTAGCTGGGATTACAGGCATGCACCACCATGCCCAGCTAATTTTGTATTTTTAGTAGAGACGGGGTTTCACCATGTTGGTCAGGCTGTTCTCAAACTCCCGACCTCAGGTGATCCGCCTGTCTCAGACTCCCAAAGTGCTGGGATTACAGGAGTGAGCCAACGCACCCAGCTGACATGCAGTCTTATAATTGAGATATAGACTATTCTGGCCAGGCATGGTGGCTCATACCTGTAATCCCAGCACTCTGGGAGGCTGAGGCAGGCAGGTCACCTGAGGTCAGGAGTTCGAGACCAGCCTGGCCAACATGGCAAAACCTTGTCTCTACTAAAATTACAAAAGTTAGCCAGGCGTGGTGGCATGTGCCTGTAATCCCAGCTACTCGGGAGGCTGAGACAGGACAATTGCTTGAACCCAAGGAGGCAGAGGTTGCAGTGAGTGGAGATCATGCCACTGCACTCCAGGCTGGGTGACAGAGGAGACTCCGTCTTAAAAAGAGAGAGAGAGAGAGAGAGAGACAGAGATTATTCTATCACCTGAAAAGTTTATTTGTGTGCTTATAGTCAGTCCTTTCTTTCTACCCTTGGCCCTAGAGCCCACATTCTTCACCAGCACACCTTAAATAAAAATAAGCCCAATTACGATGCAAGGTATTTACACCGTTTTGAGTATAGCATGATCATATCAGCTTTTAAGTCAATTAAATCTCATAGTGCGACAGTTTATAAATGTTACTTTATAATGAATAGCTGAAGTATAGAAAAGTAACAAAATGACACCAGAGTGACCTATGTTCCTGGTCCTTGTAAATTATGCCAGGATCTCTGACTGCAGGGAGGGCATTCAATGAATGGGAACGCTTTTGATTCTGAACAGCAGCCTTAGCCAGAGCCGTTAAATGGGTTTCTGTCCTGCTCCTTCTCAAACTGACACTGAGCAAGCGCCACCTGCTCCTGCTCCAGGGGGCTATTCAACCATGTAGTCCCAGGGGAGCCAGGGCTGTGGGAGGTGTTGGTTGCTAAGAAGCAACGAGCCTGAGGCCTAGCCGCGAGCCTGAGGCCCAGCGGAGCTCCCGGTTGCCCTCCCTCTGCTCTGACCACAGCTTGTCCCTCTGCCAGGCGCTGCCCTCACAAGGCAGCCGAGAAGGACATCAGGCTGGCGGCTGGGGAAACCTCTGGCTCGGGGCTGGAGAAACAGTTCTGGGCATGTGGTTGAGGGAGGACACATCTCTTCTTTCTAGCCCAGGGAGTGTCCTACCTCCATGTGGTTTGGGGTTCAGGAGAGAATTCAGCCCATGCCCGTGGAGTCACATCCCCCTGCAGAGGGCACACACCCAAGCTGCGCTGAAGGAGATGCCCTCCCCTGTGCCCTGGGCATCCCCCAAAGCCAGGCACCCTCTCCCTCCCCTGGGACAGGACGCCAGGACAGGCCCCAGAGCCTGGGAGCCAGACTTTGCCCGGCTTTCTTTCCTGAGCGTGCTTCTATCAGCTCCTGTGGATGAGTCTGTTCTTTCCTATGTTGCTGTCTGAATGTATTAATTAGTCTGCGGGCAGCTTAAACAACAGAAATGTATTCTCTTATAGTTCTGGAGACCAGAAGTTTACAATCCTGGTGTCTGCCGGGTTGGTTCCTTCTGAGCACCATGAGGGAGAATCTGCTCCAGGCCCCTCTTCCGGGCTTGTAGATGCTGTCTTCTCCCTGTGTGTCCACACTGTCTTCCCTCTGCATGTCTGTGTTCAAATTGTCCCTTTTAATAAGGACACAGTCCTATTTGATTAGAGCCCATTCTAATGAGCTCTCTTTACTCGATTGCAAAGATGTTATCTTCCAATAGGATGACACTGTGGGGTACTTGGGGTTAGGGCTTCCTCATGTGAATTGTGGGTGGAGGTCCCAATTCAGCCCACCATACTGCAAAAGTGGTAGTAGCTCTGCCCAATGTCAAGGACCATTCAGAACCTTCTATGATATTAATTTTCAGGAAACTGACAGCAACACAAAAGTCGTCACCATGAGTCTTTGTTGAGCCAAGTTGAATAAACAAGTGGCTTATTTTACTAAAATACAAATCTACTAAATACACTAATACTAGTAAAATACTAGTAAAAATACTAAATCTACTAAAATACAAATCTACTAAAAATACAAAATTAGCTGGGCATGGTGGTAGATGCCTGTAATCCCAGCTACTTGGGAGGCTGAGGCAGGAGAATTGCTTGAACCTGGGAGGTGGAGGTTGCAGTGAGCCAAGATCACACCATTGCACTCCAGCCTGGGCAACAAAAGAGAAATTCCATCTCAAAAATAAACAAGTGACAAGTATGAAATATGTAAGATTTGAAAAGTCAGAGGGAGTTCCAAATGAACTCAACAGTGTGGGCTGGACATTTCACTGTGAAATCTGTGAAATTAGAAGAGTCCACACAGAAGTCATTAAATAGCAACTGTTCCTTAAGTTGTAATGTATATCTTTATGAAATTATATATATGGCATGTGGTTGGTTTTATAAAAGAGAGACTATATATATGTCCACCTATAAGAAGATGAAAAGAAAATATTCTGAAGTATTAACATGGATTAACTCTGATTAGTTGAATTGTAGGTGGCTTTTTGCATTTTTCCTTGCTCATTTATGTTCCAAAAATTTCACAACGGCCATATCCTACTTTTGCAAATAGAAAACAGTGTTCTTCAGCATGAAAATTGGCACAAAGAAGAATTTTTTTAAAGTAGAAAATGCGAATTTTAAAAATATAGCTGTGAAAAAAAGTATAAAATTAATTCCAATAAAATAAATCGTGGATACCTGAAAATGATGGTACGTTTATAAATGGTTTGCCTAAACTGCAGTGATGCTAATTAATTCTCTTACCATAAAGGTCAGGATAAAAAAATGACAGGAATAGAACGTAGTATTTGAGGCAGAATTTCAGCCTTTGGGTCTTCCAGAGGTGAGAATGAAAGAAGAGAGGAGGAATTAGAAAGGTTAATGCCTTTGTCATTGAAAATCCCATCACTTTTTTTTAACCAACTTTTTTTTTGTTTTTTGGTTTTTTTTTTTTTAAAAAACCTTCTAGCTGAAGTTTTCTTTTGACATGAATTTCTACACCTTTAGGGATTAAATTAATGCTCAATTTTTGGAATGTTATTAGGAGAATTATAGATGACAAAAATATCACTGGCGAGAAATTAAATCTTTTCTGTCTCTGTCACAAAATGTAGGCATAAAAGTCTCTTCTGCTCATCAGACAAATTCAGCAACTTTGATTTTGAAGTTGCCTTTGATGATAGGTCTTCAATGTTCCTGAGAATCCATTTGCTTAATGATCGAGGTGGCCTCAAGCAGTCTTCAGCTACGTGCTTACCTGCCCGGCTGTTGATGCCATTTCACTGTGCAATCCCTGTGCTTTGCTTCTCTGTTCATTCAAAGATGGATCATCTAAGAGCCTGATTAGCCTTCGTCAAAATAACATTACATATAATACCATAGTAACAGGCCTTTTTGTTTCTTTATAAACAGGGTGATTCAGAGAAAGCAGACAAGAAACCCTTAGAAGGGCTTACTGGGGTGACTGGAGGCAGTCCTGCATTTTGTGTCTCTGCTGTGTGGGGTATTAATTGTGCGAGGAATATGCAATATCTGAAACTTCATGGTCCCCATGTGCAATATATACCAAAGATATGCGGATTCGTGTTTTTCCCCTTTTTTATGATCCATCTAGGGAACTGCTTGTCGAGATGCTGCCATTCCAGGGGAGCTAAAAACCCTGAAACCATTAGAAGTGTTGATATCAGGATGCTACAGCACAAAAAGAAGACAGCACTGTGGAGAAAAATAACTTACGAGAAGACACAGCACCGGGGGATAGACGCTGTTAAGTAGCACTTGCTAACAAGAGCTTTCAAGCCACCATGAGAACGAGATGGATTTATTTTCCTTCCTTTGCAGAATCTCAGCAACTCTGTGGTAGACAGGGGCCAACAGAAGTCAGACGTTGGGAACGGGGGGCAAAATTTTAAAGAGGACTCAGGAACAAATACTTCCTTTCTTTTCATAAACCACCCATTTAACATCACTCAACAATGGCTGTTGTGGTAAACGCTGTCACTGATGGATAAGTGGGGGGAGCGTGGCTGCTGGGTCCAGGCTCCTTAGATGTGGCCAGTAGGAGGCATGGATTATCATTTTTCTTTGGCAGGGAGGGAACTGAGACTTCAATGAGGAATTTCTCCAGTGATACGCAGCTGGTGGGGACAGTCAGTGGTTGGCACACCTCCCTCAAGAGCTGACAGCGGTGTGAGTTAGGGGACTCCCCCGCTGCCCCCGATGTCAATCATTCTTGGGTCTCAGCTCCTCCCCTCCACGCTGAGATGGTTGCTTTATTCTCTGCCCGGCCCTCCAGGCTGTGAGCCACCAAAGTGGAAGCAGTGGGTCCCTTCTGCTTGGGACCCTCGGGCCCAGCCCAGGACCTGGCTCAGCAAAGGCAAAAATGAACAGTCCAGGAGTTGGTCCCCTGACCTGGCTGAGTCTGGGTACCTGTCTGACCCTGTACCCGTGACTTTTTCTCCTGACAGCTTTGCACATTGGTAAAGGTACCTAATTTCTACGTTTCACTTTAAAAAGTAGTCTTTACTTCTTAGCCTGGGAGACACCACAGTCCTTTAACTAGAGAAGTTTTCCTGTGCCGTAGCCGTGAGAGGCTGACAGCAAGACTGGGAGGAGCCCATTTCACTTCCATCCCTGCGTGGCTTGATCACGGGGCCGAGAGGGAACGCCTCTGTGAGCCAGGGGCCTCTGTGGGTCCAGTTGTCCCTTGTCCCCTGTGGATCTGGCAGCATGAGGATGCTCTCTTTCTTTCTAGTGTTGCCAAAGCCAGATTCATGAATAAAGCTCTTACGAATATTTGGTGGCCACATAGGCAAGTCTACTGGGGAGATGGGAAAGAAAGGGAGGAGTGTATGGCACCCTAAGAAATTTGGAGATGACCTGGGCCCTGACAGCTTCAGAAGCCTCCTTATTCCCTAACCCTTAGGGGTCTTCAAAAGTGGTGAGCCCCCCGCCCAGTCCAACCATATCTCACCAAATTAAATATCAAACCAAGTTCTTTTTTTTTTTTTTTTTTTTTTTGAGACAGAGTCTTGCTCTGTCACCCAGGCTGCAGTACCGTGGCACGATCTCGGCTCACTGCAAGCTCCGCCTCCCGGGTTCACGCCATTCTCCTGCCTTAGCCTCCTGAGTAGCTGGGACTACAGGCACCCACCACCACGCCTGGCTAATTTTTTGTATTTTTAGTAGAGATGGGGTTTCACTGTGTTAGCCAGGATGGTCTCTATCTCCTGACCTCGTGATCTGCCTGCCTCGGCCTCCCAAAGTGCTGGGATTACAGGCGTGAGCCACCGTGCCCAGCCTCAAACCAAGTTCTTAGAGTGAATACAGATTTACCCACTTAAATGCTAGAGGCATACATTCAGAAAAAAATATTATTAGACTGCAGTTTGGACCCCAAATTTAACCAGCTGGAATTCATTTCACATTTCATACTCTTCAATCTCTGGAATGAAAAATACGTGTCTTTTAATGGGAACTTGTATTTTATCCTAAAGATGGAACAAAGTGTACTGGGCTGAATTATTTCCCAAATAGGCATGATCTGTCTCGTGTTCTGGGTTATGATAAATGATAAAACAGGTTTGGGTGAGTTGGCTTCTAACTGATGTATGAATAGCACACTGATTTTATGGGTATAGACAACAAAGGGTGGAAGCGAGGCCTTCCACTGCAGCATTCTAGAAGTCGTGTAATAAACACTCTCAAAACAACCACAGAAGTCCTTCAGGCCCAGGCATGGCCCATGATACAATGAAAAGGTTTCAATGACTGTATTAGAATAATTTTCTGAAAGCTTGGAATTACTGGGTTTCTCCAATCTTTTCCTTACTTCAGGGAGACATAGTGACTAGAGTTGGATTGAGCCACACTGAAGCCCAAGACAGAAGGAAATATCGGTCATTCCAATCCTGTCTATTTCAAATTTTAATATTTCGTTATCTATTTATTTATTTATTTTGAGACAGCCTCACTCTTGTTGCCCAGGCTGGAGTGCAATGGCATGATCTCGGTTCAGTGCAACCTCTGCCTCCCAGGTTCAAGCGATTCTCCTGCCCCAGCCTCCAGAGTGGCTGGGATTACAGGCATTTGCCACCCCACCCAGCTCATTTTTTTTTTTTTAATTTTCATTTTTAGTAGAGACGGGTTTTCACCATGTTGGCCAGGCTGGTCTCAAACTCCTGACCTCAGGTGATCCACCCACCTCGGCCTCCCAAAGTGCTGGGATTACAGGCATGAGCCACCGTGCCTGGACAAAATTTTAATATTTTGTTCATCATGACTTTTTGCAGTACTTTTTATTTGAAAAATATTGCGTTAACATATGATTTATTTTGATTACTGAGTTTCTTGGAGCCCTCTTAAATTTTGTGCCCAGGGGAAATGCCTTGCTTGCCTTATCCAGTGGTGGCTATTTCAAGAACACTGTGATTTTGTAATGGATTTCACAAGGAAGAATAGTAGACTGAGAAGTAATTGAGTTTTTTGTTTTCAAAGGAATTTGTTTGTGGGACTGTTAGTGATGTTTGGGATGCCAGCACATTTTCTGTTCAAGCCCTGAACTGAAGACCTAGGTATTGATGATGTTGCACAGCTCCTAAATGTAGCATACTTATGTTCAGACATATCTTTATGTCCATTCTAAGCTCAAAGTACAGACAGAAATGGATCCAAGGCCAACTATTCACGTGGAACTTGATGTGGTCTGTTCAACTAGCAGGGTATTGAATATGAAGGGATTGTTTGTGATTTTGCAACTTAGTGAAAAAAAAATAGTCACCCAGCCTTGTCTATGTGCTGAGTCAGACACCTCTCATGTGTCACTAGGCCCTCTCTGAGGACCCCCGTGGGTGGCTGCCTCAGCGTGGGCTCTGCAGACTTCAGGCAGGTACACAGTAACAGCATGTCATCTCCTGCCCACATCAATCACCTCCACCTCCACCCCTTGCCTTGGGGCTTCCTCATCAACCCAGGCAGATGCAAGGTGCAAGACTTTGCATGGTCCAGATGCATGGGGAATTGGTGCTCTGTGGAGCACCTTGGATCAACGAGAGATGGCAGCTGGTGGTGTAGGGTCCAGCCCTACGGGGCTTAGCGGGTATTCTCCTCGTGTGTGGAGACAAGAGATTGTAATAAATAAAGGCATAAGACGAAGAGATAAAGAGAAAACAGCTGGGCCTGGGGGACCACTACCATCAAGGCGCGTAGACCGGCAGTGGCCCCGAACGGCTGGGCTGGCCGTTATTTATTGCATACAAGACAAGGGGGCAGGGTAAGGAGGGTGAATCTTCTAAGTGATTGACAAGGTGAAGCAAGTCACGTGATTACAGGATAGGGGGCCCTTCCCTTTTAGGTAGCCGAAGCAGAGAGAGAAGGCAGCATAGGTCAGCGTTTTCTTCTCTGCACTTATAAGAAAGATCAAAGACTTTAAGACTTTCACTATTTCTTCTACTGCTATCTACTACGAACTTCAAAGAGGAACCAGGAGTACGGGAGGAGCATGAAAGTGGACAAGGAGTGTGACCATTGAAGCACAGCACCACAGGGAGGGGTTTAGGCCTCCGGATGACTGCAGGCAGGCCTGGATAATATCCAGCCTTCCACAAGAAGCTGGTGGAGCAGAGCGTTCCCTGACTCCTCCAAGGAAAGGAGACTCCCTTTTGCGGTCTGCTAAGTAACAGGTGCCTTCCCAGACACTGGCGTTACCGCTTGATCAAGGAGCCCTCAAGCGGCCCCTATGCGGGCGTGACAGAGGGCTCACCTCTTGCCTTCTAGGTCACTTCTCACAATGTCCCTTCAGCACCTCACCCCATGTCCGCCGGTTATTCCTAGGTTATATCAGTAATGCAACAAAGAGTAATATTAAAAGCTAATGATTAATAATGTTTATAATAATGATTGATAATTGTTCATGATCATCTCTACATCTAATTTGTATTATGACTATCCTTATTCTAACTATTTTCTTTATTATACTGAAACAGTTTGTGCCTTCAGTCTCTTGCCTTGGCACCTAGGTAATCCTCCACCCCACGGTGGATAACTTTTTAGTCTTCTCCCTAGAGCCTCTGTCCTCAGACACAGTTCACACAGCTCTCGGGGGCCACACTGCAAGATCAGCATTTAGAATTTTGTGTTTTAAAACTTTTTTTAAGTTTTAATTTTTGTGGGTACATAGTAGGTGTATATATTTATAGGGGACATGAGACATTTTGATATAGGCATGCAATGTGAAATAAATACATCATGGAGAATGGGGTATGCATTCCCTTAAGCATGTATCCTTTGAGTTACAAACAATTCAAGTACACTCTTTAAATTGTTTTAAAGTGTACAGTTATTATTGACTATCGTCACCCTGTTGTGCTATCAAATAGCAGGTCTTATTTATTCTAACTATTTTTTGTACCTATTAACCATCCCCACCTCCCCTATTCAGCCGTAAAAAAGAATGAGATCTAGTCATTTGCAACAACATGGATGGAACTGGAGATTATTATGTTAAGGGAAATAAGCCAGTTACAGAAAGACAAACATTGCATATTCTTACGTACTTGTCAGGTCTAAAAATCAAAACAATTGAACTCGTAGACACGGAGGGTAGAAGGATGGTTACCCTCCGGGGCTGGGAGGATCAGCATTTGGTTATACCTCTCAATGGCCAGTCTGATGAAGAATCCTCATAGCAGCTGCCTCTCCACTCCCCACCTTCCCATCCTCTCTCTTTCACTTCTGGCACTGCCTTCTCTAATAAAACCATAGTGCAACCGACATCTGCCTCATGCTCTGTTTTCTGGGAAACCCAGACTAATATATATTCTTCACTACTTTCCTGCAGATCTTGGTGCAACAGAACTGTCAGGAAAATTTACTTCAAAAAATTGTACCTTTAAACACCTCTCCTGCCTTTTTATGGATACCGGGCATGTATGAGATTATCAGAGGAAACAGTTAGATGCACAAGGATCTTCATATACCCATTTGTTATTTAGATTCCCTTTAATTGGGGTTTTATTAGATTCTGAAGCACTCTACTTTTATTCACGAACACTGCCAAGAATGGAAACCTCGCTTTCTGAAGCTGTGTGAATTGCTTGGCACGTGTTTAAGAACCCAGAGGCATCTCATCTGCCTCCTGGATCCTCCTGTGGCCCCTCCAGAGAGTCCCAGCTCATGCACCACCTGCCTGGCACAGGGCCAAGGATGCAGGCTGTGATTGTGAATTCTGGTGTTGAACCTTAGATGGGTATGTAGCATGTTCTAATGGTGAAATAAGGACAATGTTGAAGGAAGTCATTGTGAGGGAAATATGTCTTTTGTTTGAAAGAGCCCAGTGGTGTTACTATTTGTGATTGTGAAGGTCAATCCAAGTGGAATACACTGTCTCACAGAGGGCCACCTGTCTTTTGTGGAGGTCTCTGGAGATAAAAATAGGGACATTGCTCTAACATGTTTAAAGAGGGAGGGCCAGTGTCTCTGATGATGTAGATAGACACAGAGCTGGCTTGAGCACCAGGGACGCTGATTTCAGGCGGTTGAAGGAGGAAGGGGCTGTCCTTCTTCTAGACTCTTTGGTGAGCATCCAGGAAGATGCCGTGTCTGCATGGGGACAAGGTGTTGTGGAGGGTCCCAAACAGGAGCATTTTATGGAAGAGAAGTCATTAGGGTGGGTGTCGGGCTGGAGATGATCAGGAGAAGAATGAGAACATCTGAGCTGAGTATTGTGATATAGACTGCAAGACTCATGGTGGCATTCTCCTGGGAGTGGAATTATTAGACAATCTAATGGATCTGGTTTTGCTGTGGTTGAAGTTGATGTGACTTTTTCCTCTACTACCCCTCTACTACCTGCTTCCCCAGAAGAAAAGATAGCAAAATCCCACATGTATCAACCCATGCTCTTCTTAGCAGTCATAACTGATTCACTCTCTAGATCCCTTGGAAAACATCAAAGAAGATATCTGCTGACAAATTCGCAGATATCTGAATGCATATTCATGAAGCTCTCAAATACTCTAGTCCTTAGTTCTCTAGATAATTCTAATAGCATATTTTCTACACCTGCATTAAATTGGTCATTGTGGCTATGCATATTTGTTTAGGGAGAACTTGTACTGCCTTCTGCATAACCTAACATATTAAGCTATATTGATATCTAAACTGAATGACACATTGGTGGTATTCATGATACCATTGAATCATTTCTGAAATTCCTAAGAAAGAGCTCAGGATTCCAGAATCTCATATCAGGGTTTGCTCTGAAGCCAATTTATTGTGCCCTGTTTCTTGAATATTTGATTTCATTTATTAGTTCAATGATAATAAATAATACTTTTGAACTATGACTACTTCTGTTCAGTCGGCAACATATGTTCTTAGGATGATGAACTTGTAGTTGGAGCTCATTCAGAACAGAGATAAGAGATCACATCTTCTCCTATTTGGGGATGAGAGTGGGGTGGAGAGAAAAGGCAGCCTCTTCCCGAAGATGCTAACTTCTGTCACGTCATGAAAAAGAATCTTTTCGTTGGTTGCTTAGAGAATGACCTACCTCCGTCTGTCTGTTCATTTGACCATCAACCCATCTACCCATCCGTCCACCCATTTATCTACTCATCTGTTCATCTATCCATCCATCCATCCATTCATCCACACACCCATTCATCCATCCACCCACCCATCCATCCATCCACCCACTCATCCATCCTTAGGTCCACCCATCCATTCTTCCATCCATCCATCCATCCATCCATCCACCCATTCATCCACCTATCCATTCATCTACCCATCCATTCATCCATTCAACTACTCATCCATTCATCTATCCATCCACACATCCATCTGCTATTTATTTTAGTAGAGCCTAGCTCTGGGTGCTTATGTTATTTAAACATTAACAAAGATCTGATAGCATTTCTGGAATTGAGCCCTTGGCTGTTGTTTGCCTCTGCTTATTCCTAAAAGCCAAGTGTTCTCAAAACTCCAGCCTGTGGTGTTAATGAAGTCACATTTACCTTCAAACTCAAATCTTACTGCCTCCTAACTCCCCACCCGCTGATAGAGGCCCTCAGGAGGTATGCTGCACACAGTACTGAGAGATGCTTAAGTACAGTGGCTAAAAGGAAGGGCTCCAGAGCCAGCTTCTTGGGGGCTGAATTCTGCCTCTGCCTCTTCCCCACTTCGTGGGCTTGAGCAAATTCCTCTCTGTGCCTCAGGATATAATTGGTAAAGTGAGGCTGATGAAGACACTAAGGGCATCTACCCCATCAGGGATGCTGTCAGAACTCAATGAGTTGATGGTGCTTGAGCGCCCTTGAAGCCTGGCCCCAGCAGCATGAACCATGATTACCCGACACCCAGCCTGGTGTAGACTCTCTCCAGTATAAATTCAGTGAAACTGCAACTGCCTGGTATTGTAAAGACCAGACCCTGGGAATGGGGCAGCTCTTGGAGAATTCCCCCTCTGCCCTCAGACCTCCATTGAAAATGTCAAAAGGTCCCAAAGAATTCTGAAATGAGATACTTTCAATACTTTCAATAACGAGTTCTTTTTTTGTCAGGATCATTTTTTGATGTGAGACACCTTCACCTACGACATAAATCACCTTCATTGTGTCTCCGTTAAATAGAACCTGACATAAAAACCCCATCTTAGAAATCCCGAAAAAATGACTGCTTTTCTCCCCTGTGCACATTTCATTTTGGTTTTCCTCTGGTTTCTAAAAAGTGATCTTTTATGGAAAAGTTATTCATGACATTTGAAAGGCATCCATATTTAAGGCATTTAAAGACTGTGGGGTTGAGCATGCACCTATTTTGCACTTGCCTTCCATTTAATTTGACTTTATTCTACTCTAAAACACTGTTCTTTTATTCCGTGAAATTTTCTTTTATTTGAGCCATCTATGAATTATGCAGGGAAAGATACTGGATTTGAATGCCAGAGTTTAATCACCTGAGGTGGCTGTTCCATCTCGGATTTGGTCCAACTCAGTAGTAGTCAGATTTCCACCCAGTGCAGCAAACGTACGAGCCTTGTGTTTAAAAAGAGGAGGCATCAACATAAGGACAGACAAAAAGAAGCAGGCATTTTTACTTGCAAATCTGCTATATTTAAGAAATGGTTTACCTGATTTAAATCATTTTACATTGACTCAGATGGAAGGTGAATGGTATTCGTAATAAGTGGGAAGCTTTACTTTGCTTCTTTATTGGGTTATTGTCTGCATAATGCAATAAGCATACACGAGGATGGTTCACTTTGTTAATATAAATCTGGATCATTTACTCTATTTATTTATACCTCTCAGATTCTGAGAGCAAGGTTTTCCGAGATGATACATTTACCATTAATTAAGGGTTGACAAATGACCTGAGAATTTCTTATGGCAATGTTGAACGTCAAAGGAAACTGATTGTTATTTTTCTGATATTGTTTTTAGGCTAAAGACCTGGACCCAAATATGAATTTTGAGGGTACCTTATCCCTTAGTCACCTATCATGGTTTTCTCCTTGTTCGGTGCTCTGCTGTTTTTTTCTAGGATCCCATTCAGATAGTGGCATCACAGTAGCAATTCCTGAGGTCAAGGAAGTCCAGGCTCCAGTCTTGACTCTGCCACTCATTAGCTGCATGATCTGGGGCAAGTCATGCTCCCTACCTCCCTCATTTTCTTCATCTGAAAGTTAGAGACTTGGCTGGGCATGGTGGCTCATGCCTGTAATCCCAGCACTTTGGGAGGCCGAGGCGGGTGGATCATGGGGTCACGAGTTCGAGACCAGCCTGGCCAACATGGTGAAACCCCATCTCTACTAAAAATACAAAAATTAGCCGGGGGTGGTGGCATGTGCCTGTAATCCCAGCTACTCTGTAGGCTGAGGTAGGAGAATAGCTTGAACCTGGGAGGCGGAGGTTGCAGTGAGCCAAGATCCTGCCACTGCACTCCAGCCTGGGACAGAGTGAGACTCTGTCTCAAAAAAAAAAAAAAAAAAAGTTAGAGACTTTATAAGCTTTTCAATCCTTTTCAACTCAAAGCATACTTTTTGATAACAACCAAAAAATGGGATTGACAAAATGCTTCTCTCTCCATAACTAGAACCACGTTAAGCTTTGAGGAAACACCCTTTCTGTTTACATGTGTGGTGCATTTCACGCGGCTCCCCAGACTTCACACCCAGAGAATCTTGCCCAAAGTGTTAAGTCTAACCTTAAAAGACTTCATACTTCTAGTTAACCTGGTAAAATGAAAATGCAAAGGACAAGTATAAACAATGGCAGAAAAAATAGTTTATAAGTAGGAGGAAACATAAGAGTTTCTTAGTTGATTAAAATTTATTTAAAAAGAAGACATTGGGCCGGGCGCGGTGGCTCACGCCTGTAATCCCAGCACTTTGGGAGGCTGAGGTGGATGGATTATGAGGTCAGGAGATCGAGACCATCCTGACTAACACGGCAAAACTCTGTCTCTACTAAAAATACAAAAAATTAGCCGTACGTGGTCGTGGGCGCCTGTAGTCCCAGCCACCTGGGAGGCTGAAGCAGGAGAATGGTGTGAACCTGGGAGGCGGAGGTTGCAGCGAGCCAAGATTGCGCCGCTGCACTCCAGCCTGGATGACAGAGCCAGACTCAGTCTCAAAAAAAAAAAAAAAAAAAAAAGAAGACATTGGACATGGTGACTGGAACGAAAATACAGCAGCCTAATGACTGTCATTAACAAAATGACGCATTAACAATGCTGATCTTGTAGCTGATACAGAACCTTGGCTGTTGCCTTCATATTTTCATTGAAGTTGTGCTTGATCTCCCTCCTGGTTTCTCTTGTTACTGGTGACCTGCATTCCTAGAGCAGTGGATGTGGATGAGGGGGCCGGTCTGTGCAGCTTCAGTACATCCTTTCTTGGTGGATCCATTCCTACTCTCACTAGCACAGTGCTTTAGCCATCTGAGCTAAAGTAACATAGAACTTGATATAATGCAAGAGATGTTTGCAACAATAAAAGAGACAAAAGTAATCCCGAGTATATCTGATAACAATTGCTTTTTTCTTTTATTTTTTGCCTTTAGCGACAAGGTGCTGGGGCAACCAATGGAAAAGACAAGACATCTGGTGAAAATGGTAAGAGGACATGAATAGTCCAAGTTCTTTCTCTTTTGCCATCTGCAGCCCTGGGTATGCAGCAGGTGCGGATCATACATCCCATCCCAAACAGCTTACTATATGTGTCTGCGCTTCAGCTTACAGAGGATTTTAGCAATTCACAGTGAGCACTGAGGTCTGGTTTTATGAAGAAAACTGAGCTAGCTAAATGCCGTGATAAGAAGTTTCCCTTCCATAGGAGGACTCCCATTTTGGGCAACATGGTAATTACAATGCAAATCTAGTTCTCTGCTTTCTTCATTAGGGTGGGTGAGAATCATCCAAGTTGTTGTGAGGATAAAATGAGATCAAACGAGATAAGTGATTTGAAAACTGTGAAGTACACAACTTCTGAAATGATGTTTTAAAACTTGCTTCAGCCCTCCGGAGCACACACAATGCGGTGCTGGTCCACTGGAAGGTGCTGAGTCAGTGAATGTCACTGCAGCGATTCACCAGCAAATAAAAATGATAGCAGTGACAGGAACATTGCATCCTGCCTCTTCATGGGCCCATCTCAACCATGACCCTAAATTGTAGGAATGATCATCATATTTTTATGGATCAGGAAATGGAGGCTTGGCATTGGGGTGAGATTTAGCTAGAAATGGGAAGTGCATGGATCCTGAAGGAAATAGAGCCAGTTGGAACCCCAGGTCTCTAACTTTAGCAATTGACATAAGAACAAGCATAATAATAAAAAATACCCAGTGGTATGCACCAAGGGCCACAGCATAGTTCCGGTGAGGTGAGACTCTGGGTGTTCTTCCTTTCTGTTAACTCAAGATGAACTCTCCTTTTATGGAAAATGACTCTTGCTTCCAACTAGATGAAATTGATGCTAGTGTCCATCAATCAGATTGTGGATAATGCCAATCTCAAATACCATCGGTTAAAATTCCCTGGGGCCTCACAACCCCTTTGGAGCCTCTGTGGTGGGTCTGAGCTGAGCAAGACTCAAGTATGAGAATGTTGCTCTGCGTCTGCAGCCTGCCAATATGCCCACCCATTTAGGGCAGTCCTATTGGGCAGGGTGAGTGCAGTGTTCCCTGGGTAAAGGGGTCATCATATCAATAAGTAGAGAGGTGGGGGCTCCACAATGTCCTAATTGGAGCTAGGGGGCTGGGAGAAGAAGGAAACAAGGTTTTCCATGAGGCCAATGGCTCTTCCTTTGCTGCCCAGGGCTTTTCCTGTCTCCTGTGTGTGAGTTGGGGTGGGTGTGTGGGGTACTGGCAAGGAAGGCAGGAAGCAGAGGAAGGAGCAAAGGATGGGGCTTAAAAGGGAGGAGCAATATTGTAGTTGCCTATATGAGGAAGGACCCACTGCCTGCCATAGGGGAGCATAGGGCGCTGTGAGCCTCCACTGATTTTCCCAGTTCATACATTCGTAGCCATCTGTTCATGCAAGTTCCTTTCCACTGAACCTCACAACCTTAGAATTAGAGTTTTACAGTCAGAAGACTTCTCAGAGATCCTCTATTGTCGTGATTCTCAACTTTTTTTTGAGACAGAGTTTCACTCTTGTTGCCCAGGCTGGAGTGCAATGGGACAATCTCGGCTCACTGCAACGTCTGCCTCCAGGGTTCAAGTGATTCTCCTGCCTCAGCCTCTTGAGTAGCTGGGATTACAGGCACCCACCACCACGCCTGGCTAATTTTTGTATTTTTAGTAGAGACAGGATTTCACCATGTTGGCCAGGCTGGTCTCGAACTCCTGAACTCAGCTGATCCACCCGCCTCGGCCCCCCAAAGTGGTGGGATTACAGGTGTGAGCCACTGCACCCAGCCAACATTTTTGTTCTCACAACTCCTTTCCATTTTAAAGAATTCTTGAGGACCCCAAAGAACTTTTGTTTATGTTGGTGATATCTATTGATGTTTGTCATGCTGGAACCCTACTGACTCTTATAGAGATGGTACTGAAGAAAAGACCTGGAGCCAGTGAACAAGACATAGGATTTATTGAGGGGAGTTACCTATAGGGCAGTCCAGTGGCGGTGGGCTGGATAAAAGAACCACAGCTGCCTGTAACAAGCATGCAGTTTACACAGCGTTTTCACTTAGCACCCTCCCTCTAGCAACTTCTACTTGGCAATCTACATTCATTCCAAAACAAATGTCCCCAATCCCCTGTATGGCCTGCATCCCATGGGATGGGCTGGGAATTCAGATGTTCCTCATAGATAAGAATGAATCTCTATACTGGCCACTCCCAGATTCCTTAGCTCGGAACTCGACTCCAAGCACACATTCTTCTTAGACCATAGGGTCATTCTCAGGGTATGCTTAAGTTACGCTATTGATATCAGGTGTATCTGCCATACACTGTCTCCTATATTAGAAATTAAAATGGAGAAAGTTTTAAATGGTTTTTCTTATTAATTTATTAAAAATAAAATAATAAACCCACTACATGTGAATGTAAGTAACATTTTAAAAAATGAAAAGTCATTATATTTTCCAAAATGGAAAAGGATATTTAGTAAAAAGTGGCAATTTTACATTTCTGCAACTCTCTTTAAAGTCTGGTTTGACAGAGGACAGCTGGATTTTCATACTGGCTTCTGTGTTCAATCTGTTATATCATGTGATGTGTAGCCTATGGAAAATTCCACTGCTCACTTGTGAGAGTATGAGATTTAAAAGAGCAAATAATATCCTTTAAGATCAAACTCTTACCTTTTATAATAATAATATCTTTTATAAGACCAAAAATGTTTTTGATCTTTTGGGCTCCCTTAAAGGATGTAGGCACCCCCCAGGGTACCTGGTTCACACTTTGGGAACTACTGCTCAGCATGTCTCATGTCATGCCTTGAGGAGCCTGAAGACCAGGCACATGGTGACGAAGCCAGGACTAGGTCCTATGTGTTCGATGTCTCTGCCCCTTGGCTTTATCTTGACATCCTATTGGTCTTTCAAACCATGCTGACATGCTCAGTGCTTTGCACCAAAGGGAATTACCGGCTACTATAAGTGATGCCATTTTCTGCCATTCAAAGACATGGAATTTCTTTTAGCTGAAAACCAGTCCACACCAGTGGAAACTGAGTGAGGTTTTTTATGGAGGTATAAAAATTAATTAAATGGAAATATTCCTGATGCTATGAATAAGGCTTTTCATTAGATAATTCTAGATATTAAATGATAGTCACTTTTGGGTAGAAAAGTGAATTTGAGATTATTTTACAGTTACTGGATAATGGCAATGTATAAATGTAAATTATTATTAACATGCTATACTTTAATTTCAGCTAAAACTGCCTATATATGATATTTGTACGTGATACTTTATTATAATTTAAAGTCTGTGCTTTTGCCTTTAAAAAGGAGCAAAGACAAAAACTGGAACAGCCCAAGAAAGATGAGGGTAAAAACTTCTAGAAGTAATCTAAAAAACATTTTCCTAAAGAATTGAAGTTACTTAATTTTTTATTCTTAAATTCCTGATATGAGACGATCATCTTGGAATTTCCATTTTAACCTAGTATTACATTCCATTGAAATTCAAATGATTTTATTCTGTCATTATAGGTATCTAGGGAGATCTATTATGTTAATGTATATTTCCTATTAATATCAAATGAAGCTGTCTACATGTCTTGAAGGAGCAAGGACCCTTGAGTATTGAAATATGAAGTATTAAAAAAACCATCAAAATGTTATGAAATTTGGATAGTAACACTTCATAATAAAAGGAACATTCTCAATTGTATTAATTGTCTGTACAAGTCAGGGTGTTTGTAATCCAAATATTGTAAATTTAGTTGAGGTCTCCATTTAATGTATAAAGCAATAAAGACTGTGGGAGTGAACTACAGGTGCCTTGAAATTATTTGGATCACAAAAGACCCAAGTCAGGTACATTAAAACTTCAGAAGGTATTTAGATTCCTGGGCTTTGCTGCCATTTCATTACATTGAATATTATCTTGAGAGCACCATTTTCTGGGAATGAAATTTCTCATACATTCAATATTTATTTTTGTTATTGTTGTCAACATGGTATTTATTGATGTGAAATATGACCTACTGCATACTCTCCAGAATGTTTCAAAATCCTTCTCATTTTCCCAGGATGTTAACCTCAGTACACACACTCAAACCCGATGTTTCTACTAGAACTAGATTTTGTGGTATCATCTGCTGTAGGAAGACAGGTTTTTCAGAAATATTAGGGTTATAATTTTTTTTAATGTAGAAAATAAACGTTTCAGGGCTTGGAGGTTCAGAGATTTTTCATTCCTCTATGAGCAAAGCACCTTCATCATTTGATTAGTTAAGCCACAGATTTCATTTGTTTCTGGAAATAACTTTCTACTTGAAAGAAACAATAGCTCATAGCTTCCATTATAAATCTTTCTGTCTCATTTAAATGGCTAAATTAAATTCAAACATGTTTACAAATATAGACACAACCATCTGAATCTAGATTATTCACCACAAATTAGTAATTTGAACACAACCGAAAGATTTTTGGGGGAAACTACATTGCTGGATTTCTTGATCCATACCTTGATACTGGTTGTCCGGAGAGACTCCAAGAGTTAAATTTTTTTATTGACACACAAAAGCAGAAAAATACTGGAAGCAGAGTGGCTGCTGGGAGCCTTCCAACCTGAAAAAGAGATTTATGAATAATAAACCTCGTGATGGGGCTTACTTTCAGAGCTTGGAGGCTTACCCAAGCTAAATTGAATTTCTAAAACTGGAATGGATTTCTCTTGACTTAGCGAGCTGTGATGCATTTGTTTCTACAAGGCTCTGTTTCTGCGGGTGGAAGGTGTATGAACACACCTGATTTTAAGAAAAGAATCCCCTCACATCCAGGCTGTAGGTAAATGCTACAGAGGAAAGGTATTATTTTGAACTACCTGTGGGACTCACTGTCGTTGTGTTTCTTTGAGTGTGAGTAGCCTTGCACAAGCTCGGGCTCCATGCTTGAATACCTGTGCCCCTTCCTTGGGAGAGAGACTATGGCCTGAGAAGTTTCAGTAGGTGTGGGGATATTCTAGGAGTACTTAAGACTTAGTTTGATTTGGGCTGGGCGCGGTGGCTCACGCCTGTAATCCCAGCACTTTGGGAGGCCGAGGCGGGCGGATCACGAGGTCAGGAGATCGAGACCATCCTGGCTAACACGGTGAAACCCCGTCTCTACTAAAAATACAAAAAATTATCCGGGCGCGGTGGCGGGCGCCTGTAGTCCCAGCTACTCGGGAGGCTGAGGCAGGAGAATGGCGTGAACCTGGGAGGCGGAGCTTGCAGTGAGCCGAGATTGTGCCACTGCAATCCGGCCTGGGCTAAAGAGTGGGACTCCGTCTCAAAAAAAACAAAAAAAAAAAAAAAAAAAAGACTTAGTTTGATTTGATATGATTATATGATTGCCAAGAATAAATAAGATGAAATGTTAATGTACTGGGTACTTTCCTCTCCCTGTTTTAAATCAATCCCAAACCATAAAAGTTTAAGTTTATCTCACCTTTGGATTTTGAGGAAACACACACACATGTACACACACAGAGTCACTTTCTTATTTTTCTGCTCTTAAGTAGGTAGAGAGAGAGGTCCCAAGAAGGACTTGCATTTATAGGCAGACAGATGTACATGCTACCATTAAATGGACTGTGATTTTTCAAATAGAAAAATATAATTCAAAAATTTATTTCCAAAGAAATTTCACTACCCCCTACCCCTGGCCCTTTGTGGCTCCATATCTCCCAGTAGACATTCATCCCCCTCCCACTTGTGTCTGTGTTCTTGGTGCAAGATTATCTTTCAAGACCTACGTGCTGACTTAGGCAGATTTTGCTTAGGATATATTTTATCTGTCAACTCTCCTTGGTATGTGGAATTGTGTGGAGTAAGGCTTCGTGTGCAAGGCTGGGCATCAGCTTGGAGTAAGAAGAAACTGATGTTGAGTCCAGGAACCAAGGATGATTGAGTGATCACTATCATGCCCGAGAGAGGAGGTCAGTTTTGGCAGAGGATGCTGCCTGGCTGATCTTGCTCCTGGGCACAGGGTGGCTGGATGGAAGGCAAGAGGAAGAAATGCATTCTAGAAAGGCTACAGAGGGAATACACCTGCCCCTGCCTGCAGCAGTGACTCAGCTCTGCTCTGCTTCAGATGTGGATTGTGGTCATATCAGAGTTTGAGGATGGATCATGGTACACGGAAGACAGAGCAGCCTGCGATTCAGAGTTTTGCTGTTCCTGTAGGCCAGAGGGTGCAGGTGTCTGGAATCCAGGGGGAGGTGAAGCTTGAGTCCACACTGAGGGTCTAATATGCCAATTCTGCACAAATCTCAATAGTCCACATGGAAACTTAACAAGCCAAGATGAGCCTCTTTGAAAAGGAACAGAGACAACTTTGAGTATCCAGCTGCAACGTGTGTCAGAAATGTCAGAAAGGTTATAACTTTCACAGACAGCACTGGCTGTGAAAAAAGCACCTACCTAAAGTCATTAATGTCTAAGGTGTGCAACATATCCCAGGCTAGAAAGCTCTCAATCTGTTTCCCGCTAGGGCAATGAAACCCTGAGCTGCCTAAAGGTCAGAATCCACCATAGTGAGAGATAGCAAGTGCTGCTGTGAATACCAGAGGCACATGGGTGGTGGCGCCTTCAAGGTAAAAACTCAAACAGCTCCGGTCTCCATCTGGAGGTTCTTGGCCCTTTATCTCCTTCCTTTTCCATATTTGAAGAAATCAGAAAAAAAAAAATCAAAACAAAAGTGACTGATGCTCAAGAGATGGGGTCCTTTGTGCTTTCGGCTCCAAACACTCTAAAGAGTTTCTATTCTGGAAGGAAGAAATGGACACACAAAGCTGCTTCTGATATTGATCCAGATGGGGAAAAAATGACATTGGAATTGCTTATTAAGCCGGGCATTTAAAGCCATCGCAGTCTCCAGACAAACCCAGTCAATGGGTGATATTGCTCAACAAGTGAGCTGATTCTGCCTGAAGGTTACTTTAGGGATTAGTGCTGAGGGAATTTATTAACATCCATCTCAGTTAGAAGAGTGACTTTTTGTTTGTTTTGCCCTTCAGAGTGAGCATTATAATAACTTCATTGAGCAAGGAACACCTCGGATAAGTATGGTGCTTCTGATCAGTCTTGGGTGTGAAAGTGCTTGAAGCCTTGTGGACAGAAGCGGAGATTCCTACCCATCTCTAGCTGCAATTCTTTACATCTATAGGCTTGCATAGTTTAAAAAAATGTGGCCGGGCACGGTGGATCATGTCTGTAATCCCAGCACTTTGGGAGGCTGAGGCGGGTGGATCACGAGGTCAGGAGATCGAGACCATCCTGGCTAACACGGTGAAACCCTGTCTCTACTAAAAATACAAAAAATTAGCCGGGGGTGTGGTGGTGGCTGCCTGTAGTCCCAGATACTCAGGAGGCTGAGGCAGGAGAATGGCGTGAACCCAGGAGGCAGAGCTTGCAGTGAGCCGAGACCATGCCACTGCACTCCAACCTGGGTGACAGAGCGAGACTCCGTCTCAAAATGCTCCCCCATGCTGTCTTCCCTTTGATGTTACCATGGCCTTGCAGGTGGGTTGGGAGAGGATCTCAGGCAAAGTTGCTGGTGAACTCAGGATTGTCCTAAGGTCACATAAATAAGAGGAGGAAAGTTTTGGTCATCTGACCCACAGTCCAAACACACCAGGTTGTCTCTATTTACACTTTCTCCTGACTTCCCTCTTGACCAGGGTCTTGTTTGTAAATGGGCAACTTGGATGGGCTGTGGTCTAAGCCCCTGGAACAGAATAAAGTTAATGGGCTACATCTTAGCCAAACCAGAAACTATTGTATCCATAGTACCATTATCCCATCAGTTTAGTTAACTAGCCTCTGGCAAATAGGGGTGATCTCAGACTAATAATAGGGACAGCCATGATAGTTTTCAAAATTAAAACATCAAAGCAACATGTTCATTTATAGCCTCTTCATATTTCACCTGCCCTCTTCCTCACCCTTTCTCTTTCTCCCTCCTTCCTTCCTTCCGCTCCTCCTTCTTCCCCTTCCTTCCCCCTTTCCTTCCCTTCCTTCCCTCCCTCCGTCTTTTCTTCCTACCTTTCATCCTTTTCTTCCTTCTTTCTTTTTGAGATTGAGCAGTGGACAGCTTTAGATCAGCTGAAATAGAATTTCATTCCACATCATACAGAGAAAGCTTATACACCTTGGTGAAAAAGTAAAGTTATACATTATTCTCAATGAATTACTCTTAAAGATCTTCAAGATCTTGGCCATGAAGCAGCTTGAACCAGGAAAATGTGCATCCCTCTAGCCTTTGGAAACCTGCCCCAAGCAGGAGATATTCCAGGTTTCAAATGTTTCAGGTTCTGCTTGTCAATTACTTTTATGGAAATAGTATTTCTCACGCGCTTGAAAACACTTTTGCTCTTTTAAGTAGGTGAAACACTCATAATCTTATTTATAGAATTAATGTGCACAGCAGGCAGTTTTTCAGAAGCAAAACCCCACCTAGATCTCAGGCTGGGCCAAATGATAAGATGGTTTAAATTTGTAGGTTTCATATTAGGTACATCTGGGATTACAAAAGCACGGAAAAATGCTAATATTTCTCCTTGGAAAATAATGCTGTCAGTGGGCAGAGTGGGCTGAATTGTCCTCAAAGAGTAGATCTCCCTCTCAAGCTAGATGTGTTCTCCCCTCCACATGAGGCAGGGAAGAGTCAGCCTTGCAGCCCTGGGCGTGTCTCCAGGATACCCTTAGAGCAACCACAGAACATGCTTCGGACCCCGGGCAGAAGTCCCCAGGGTCACCCAAGAAAGCTCTCTAGCAGCCAATCTAGAACATAGCTCGGGGGAGATGCAGACCCAGAAAAGGAGAAACCAGAATCCCAGGGAGGCCTATCTGGAGGAGCGGACAGACAGGGGCTTTGGCCTGTTGAAAGGTACAGCTAAGCTGTGGCAACTTTGCAGAGACTAGTAGGTTGCTAGAATTAAGAAATAAAGTCCCTGCGTGGTGGCTCCCAGCACTTTGGGAGGCCGAGGTGGGTGGATCACCTGAAGTCAGGAGTTTGAGGCCAGCCTGGCCAACATGGTGAAACTCCATCTCTACCAAAAAATACAAAAATTATCTGGGCGTGGTGGCGGGCACCTGTAATCCCAGTTACTTGGGAGGCTGAGGCATGACAATCACTTGAACCCAGGAGGCGGAGATTGAGGTGAGCAGACATCGTGCCACTGCACTCCAGCCTGGGCAACAGAGTGAGACTCTGTCTCAAAAAAAAAAAAGTGCCTTCTAATCACTTCTACCCGTTGGACTTTCCCAGCCAAAACTACAGAGCAATGATTAGGTGGAGCAGGAGAAGAGAGGAGAGTGAATCTGAGAAGCAAGAAATGCAGGGTTCCATTGTACCAAGTGCCTTTTTCCAGTTGTTGCCAATGTACTTCCCTCCCTGGCCTTTGGGCCAGGTCACCCTGTTCCCCTGTTTGTCCCCACTAATTAAAAAATGTAGCTTATTATACGATAAGTGATTGCTGCTTCCCAAAGACAAAGTGGGAATGATTTTTGTATACAAATTCTGGATTGGCTTCAGAAAAAAAAAGCAAGAAAAGTGGTTTATTGAAACCATGCTTTCATGTTAACTGTGTAGTGTAATTGGCTGGCTTAGTATTTCTAAAGGAAAGAAAACTGTCAGATCTCTTTTTTAAGGATGACATATTTGACATTCCTGGAGCGATGAGGCTGTCCCTGTGAAGGTTAATGTGTGTTCCCCACAGTCGGTGTAAGCCCCTCATCCCTCCTCAGGTGTCATTAAGGGGACAAGGAGGTGGCCAAAGAGGAGACACAAGAGGAAGCTGGCTGGAAGGTGGGTGAGGGTGGATACAGAGCTGTTCACACCTCCACCCAGTCTGAACGGAAGGCCCCGCTAGATGGCAGGCCAACTGGGAAATGGGGAAGGGACTGGGCAGGCACGGTTCTCCCCTGTAAGCTGGGGTTTGTCAGACCAGGAGGGAGGAGGAGAGTAGCTTCCAGCCACACACCCACAGACTGTGGGCTTCCAGAAAGCTGCTTTCTCAAGGGCTCAGTGGCGCCCCAGGCTCTGCTCCCACTGAGCAGAGTCTCTGGATGACTCCCCAGCTGCCTCGGCCCAAAGGAAAGGTGGGGAGGAGGGTGGGAGTGCCCGCGGCTCCAGGTGCTCTCTGGGAGGCTGGAGTAGCTGCTACTGTGCCTGGGGCTGTAGGTGTTGGCCTGGGTTGGGAGGCAGGACTGAGGTCTCAGAGGAGAGGCTAAGCTTTGCCTCCACCCCTGTGGAGAGGCGCCAAGGAGCCAATCTGCTTTCATTCAGGTCCCTCTTGGATATCTTGGCTTCATAACCTTGAATTAAACTTCAAATTTGTGACTGCAGGATCAGCTGCTTAAAAATATGAGAAATGACCATCTCCTTATTTAAATTGCACGTATTTCCTTTTAAGTTCTTCTCTCTCCTCCCCCGACACAACCAGGGGAATTGCTCTTTTCTGCACCATGGTGAAGAAATGAAATCAGGGCCCCTTTAATGTCAAGTACATTCTGAACGTTCAAGAAGGAAGAAGAATAACAAGTACTGTGAGATCATTGAATTTAAAATGCAGCCATTTATAGACTTCACTATTTCCAGCATTAATTCGAAGGAGTAGATATTACAGTTATTATAATGACAATTTCTCATGGCTATTATGGCATATTGATCTGTTCTTTTACTATCGCTTTTTCCTCGGGCAGATCCTGTATCTGCTCAGGCTGAGCACACCGTTTTCTTACAGACTGTTGTTCCGTGTCGCTGCTCTGTTTTTCTGACATGTTATTTCCTTCAGTCTCATCATGAGCAAGAAGCCAAATTATTTGCATATCACTAGGTTTAATTTTAAAATTGTATTTCCTTTGAAAGTTACCCCCTTCTCCTATTCACTAAGGAGCAGATGCTTCTTATTCACCTGCTGGGATCTCCTTGCATTCTGGTCATGGTTTTTCTGTTCCAGTTGCCATTTCCTTTTTTCCTCTTGGGATGTGGAATGGTGTAGAACTGTGATCAGTGGAAATACGTATTGATTGGATAGACCAAGATATGGCTGGGTGTGCCGGGAGGAGGAACTGGGAAGTCAGCGACGTGGCCTCCATCACAACGTTTATGAAAACTCTCCCTTCAGGAACTTATGATTATGTGAAGGGGATGCTTGCTGCTGTTTTTGTGCTTGGCAAGCAGCTTCTTCAAAATTTCTTCCTTCCTTTCTTTTCTTTTCTTTTTTTTTTTTGACATGGAGTTTCGCTTTTGTTGCCCAGGCTGGAGTGCAATGGCGTGACCTTGGCTCACCGCAACCTCTGCCTCCCGGGTTCAAGCGATTCTCCTGCCTCAGCCACCCGAGTAGCTGGGATTACAGGCGCCCGCCACCACGTCTGGCTAATTTTTGTATTTTTAGTAGAGATGGGGTTTCTCCATGTTGTTCAGGCTGGTCTCAAACTCCCGATCTCAGGCGATCTGCCCGCCTCGGCCTCCCAAGCCTTCTTCAATATTTCTAAGGTGTGTTCTTCTCTCTCTACTATTCTACCATCCCAGACCCTGAAAACAATTGGAAATCGAATCATGCTCTGGCGTTCATTTAGACAGCAAAGTCTCCTCGGATGTCAGAGAGACACTTTAGTGGCCGGGCACTGATGTGAGTGAAGCAAGTCTCACTTCAGACTCCAGTTGCTACCAGTTCACCAAATCCAAGTGCAACAGACCTGGCCTGTGTAGGAGGGCAGACCTCGCTTCCCACAGCAGTCATCGCAAACGGGGCTAATCATCGTGGGACCATGATCCTCCTCTCACCCAACCTTTCTTACACTTCAAGTTTCGCTCTTTCCACACAAACATAAAGCTTTTGGCAGTTTGGATGGATGTGCACTCACCAAAATCCAATTTCCCACCAGTCCATTAAAAAAAAAAGTGTTTTTATAGTGAGCTTTGAAAATGGGCCAGGCCATGAGAAATGGTCCATGCAGATGCTGGGTTGTAGATTATAATGCATTTGCTGGTTGGGGAAAGTGCTTTGAAGGTTCCTCCCAGGTAACTCTGAGCTCAGTAATTGTTTCATAGAACTTTCAGAATAAGATAGAGCAATGTTTAGCATCCGATTTTGGCTGGGGTTTTCCATGGATTAGCTGATGCCAGGCTGCCTCCATGCCAGCAGGAGCTGGGCATTTTTGCTGACTGTTTTTAGGGTCTTCCTCGCCCTTTAGCCATTTCCCCGGTTGCAGGGCCCCTGAGCTGCTTGGCCTGAAGGCCTGCCAATAAACCTCATCCGACTCTTGGTTTGCTCATGAAGGGTGGGGCTTGGGTGAATTCCCATTTGTTCTGTCCCTGCCATTCTATGCTTTACTCATTTGTTCCTGGTTCACCTGCAGTGAATCATTTTATCTCTTTGGGTTGCAGCATTGTACGACGACATTGTCTTTGGGCGCTTGTCGAATTCTGACTCTTTATGATTCTGTGGCTGTCTCTTTCCTGGGACAGTGTAGGACATTTGACTCCTTTTGATTTTATTTTCTGTAAGCATCAAGGGGATATCGCACATGAGTCCACAGGAGAAATACGATGTATTTTCTTGGTGGAGGCAGTGGAGGGGAAAGTAAGGGCAATGGATGGGATCTGAATGGGATTGTCACCGGCTGTGAACACAGGATAACAAGTAGTTATTTTTGTTGAAATAACAACTATTTCAACAAAATGGGTGAAAATGGGAAAATTTAACATTTCCTCTAGAAAAACTGCATTTCCAACTATCTGACAGTAAAACAGGGAAACAGGGTTTATTTTCCTGGATCTTTCTGTAGCATATGTCCAGTTTAGAAAGGAGGCTGGCACCCCAGTGACTGGCCTCGAGGTGAGCACAGGTGTAGACAACAGTGGTCCACTCGACAGAAACACAAAAGAAGTGGGTGCCTCCCTCTGGTGGCAATTGGCATACATGAAATTAAAGTGTGACTGCGATCTTTCAGGCAGAAGGTAGCCAACATTCTTTAGAAACTTTATAACCTTTTCACCTGTGGGCCTCGTCAACGTGACCTGGTACCAACCAAGCACTAGGGGAAACCTCAGCCAGAGGTTGCCGGGATAGGTGCTCCCCAGCCCCATGGCAATGGGATACTGAGTTATAGCTGTTTCTTGAAAAAGCCTCACTTGTCTTTTCTATAAATCCAGCCTATTGTCACCTTAAATGATGGCTGTGTGTGGAAGAGTTGAACCGTAGTTTTGAAATTATAATCCAGACTTGTTTGTGGAAGAAGGAGATAGGGTTTTAGAAGACAAGATGAGCTACCTGCAGATGAGATATTCATTCTTATTCTATTCACACATCTGACAGTTGAACAAAACTATAAAACGTTGCCAATTACCTATCTGGGCTAGAAACGGCCTATTAGGTCACCCCGGCCATTCACAGCTGGTGAAATATGACTCCCTGTTGTGTATTTCCTCAGTTCAGCTTAAAATGACTTTAGCAAAAGGTCAGATGCTACTGCTCCTGGGAGATGTTTGCAATCTCTAATAGACTGATGTTAGACATTTTTTTTTCTAACATTCTATCTAAATTTGTTTCTTGACATCAGTTTCTTGACATCAGCCTCTGTTAATGCTCCCTTGAGCCATGGCAGCTCCAAATGGGTATTTTATCCCTGCTTAAATTTTTGGTTTAGACAGAAATGCTTCTACTACCTCTGCTGATAATTAGAATGTGTCAAGGGATGATATTTCATTGTTGGTCTTTTGAAAGGTTTTTTTTTTTTTTTAAAGTATTTCCAAACTGATTAATTTTTGATCCTGTTGCCCTGATCCCAGAAAATTTCTTTCTGTCTTTGAAATTTCTTGAAAAGAATAAAAGTAATCCACTTTATTTTTGGTTTGTAAAAGCTTTTTGGATGGGGATGCTCCGATGGCACCCACAAAGGGCAGGAGCCTTGCTTTCCTGCCAAGGTGCCACATAAAACAGGCCCTGGTTAAATGGTCACATTTAACCAGGCCCCATCTGAATTCTGCCTAGGTGTTCATCTACCTGAACCAATATAAAAAAAGTCTGGAGCTTCAGAACTTTTCACAACCCTGGGAAGAACTTCCCAATGCCATTTTCCGGGGTGATTCGGTGTCAGAACGTTATTATTTTAATTTAATCTATTTTTATTTTTATTTTTTAGAGACAAGGTCTTGCTCTGTCTCCCAGGCTGGAGTGCAGTAGTGAGATCTTAGCTCACTCTAACCTTGAACTCCCAGCTCAAGCAATCCTCCTGTTTCAGCCTCCAGAGTAGCTGGGACTACAGGTGCGGGCCACTATAACCAGATAACTTATTTTTTGAAGAGATGAGGTCTAACTATGTTGCGCAGGCTGGTCTCAAACTCCTGGCCTCAAGGGATCCTCTCGCCTAGGCCTCCCAAAGTGAGGACATTATTACTTGTTGCTTAAAACTAACACCAAAACTCTACTCTTAGTTAATCTTTTTGAGTCCAGGTTACTATATGTAGTTCAGCTACTTAGTCTAGAATGCCACATAACTTTACTTCTGGGGTATTTAATTTTAGTATCTTTTTATAAATATAAGAACTCATCTTCCTGATAAGTAGAAAAAGGTACAGAGCTTAAAATGACCCATCTTTAAAAAGGTATTTCCAAGAAATCAGCAAGTGCCTGGCCATGAGCTCTTAAGATAGTGTCATTTTAAAAAAAGCAAATAGAAGTGCTATGTCTTTGCTCCAAACCTACAAAGAGAAGGGACGTGAGGGGCTGTGGCTGTGGATTAGGAAAGCAGAGATTGTGAAGTTTAACTGTCACAGGGCTGGCCGTCCCTAGAAATCAGCACCCATCTTTGTTTAGACATAAAATACTCACTTACAAATCCAGGCACACACCTCTGGGCAACAGCCCTCTCTGTCCTTATGACAACATTCTGATGTGGGATGCCCAGTCATGTTCAGCATGTTTGAAGGGTATTTGAAAATATGGGACTTCAGAGTCGTATACGGTAGCGTCTATTTCTGCTCTGCCATTTTCTTGCCATGCGTGAAAAGTGTAGAGCATGAAACGAAACACAGGACCCATGACTGAATGGAGATTCCAGGTTGGTGGTAGCCTCAGGCTTGAGATTTTGAGCAGTGATGGGCGTCTATCAGCTCAGCTGCGTGGTTGGACCTGGGAGGGACTTGACCCTGGCTTTGCTTCACAGACCCCCTTTGGAGTTGCCAGAGAGTTGTACCCCACGTGAAATTCCATACAAAACAGACCCGTCTACCGAATAGTCTTGTGCATTTAAGAAGGCTTGTAATCCCTGGAAATACGCAAAGAGAAACACCTGTCTGCAGGGATTAGAAGCTCAGGGTGAAGAGCCAGGGCGGGAAGTGCCCCATGAGATAGCATGGCCCAGCAGCTGAGTTGACAGCCAGGGCCAAGAAGGACGCAGAAACGTGTGTCATGAAGGATGCCAGATGCACACACACACTGTGGGAGAAAGGCATTTAAATCAGACAGCACCAAAGAGAATAAAGAGTATTTGTAAGGAGAAAAGGCCCAGAGTACCCACTTTTGAAAGCAGCTTTAGTCCCTTTCTGATGTACATGTGATGATTTTTCAACCCAAGCTGCTCTTTGCTTTCCCCATTGTTCATGAAGCTCTTGGGGGCTCTTACCAGCCTTTGTCTTCCTTCTTCACAAAACCCTGGAACACACTCCATTTGCCTTGGCTTCTACCTTTCCTTCTTAAAGTCAAAATCTTTGGCCAGGCGTGGTGGCTCATGTCTGTAATCCCAGCACTTTGGGAGCAAGTGGATCACCTGAGGTCAGGAGTTCGAGATCAGCCTGGCCAACATGGTGGAACACCATCTCTACTAAAAACATACACACACAAAATTAGCTGGGTGTGGTGGCGTGTGCCTATAATCTCAGCTACTCAGGAGGCTGAGGCAGGAGAATCTCTTGAACCCAGGAGGCAGAGGTTGCAGTGAGCCGAGATCATGCCACTGCACTCCAGCCTGGGTGACAGAGCTGTCTCAAAAAAAAAAAAAAGAAAAAAAAAAGAAGAAAGTAAAATTCTTTGTAGAATTATGGGGCAAGGAGAATTAGAAGAAACTCAGTGGGTTCAAGTGAGGTTCTTATATTAATTAGGCTAATTGATGTTCCTTTGAGACTACTTAAAAATGTCCTGTAATTATGATTGCATTTGACTTTTTTTCTATTTAAAAACTGGGGAACTGTATGAAATTCTCTATGGTGGTGAAATTTTTAGAGTTTAATGCTTTAAATCTGGTATTTGAAATTTTAGAAGCTGGGGCACATGTGAGTCCTAGAAGGTGGTGAGCACCCTCAGGAGAGTCAGTCGATACCTGGTAAAACCAGGGAATATCAGAGAAAAAGGAAAACTCCAATTATTCCAAAGCTGTGAAAGGAAGAAACAAATAGACCTAGTGCAGAATGAAGGGAGTGGCCTGAAATCTGACTAGGGAGGTCACCGTCCCTGGAGCAGGACCTGCTCACATCAATTTCCTGTGTTTTCAGGCACTTGAAAAACTACACAGTTTCCACAACTGCAAAGGGAAGGGTATGGAAGGAGAAGCAAATGTCCCACAAGGAGAAAAAAATAACATGAAGCAGGGAAGCCTCAGAGGGAATGTTGCCAAAGGTTACTGAATATAAAGGAAGTATTTCTGCAAAAAAAAAAAAATCTCTGGGATTTTTAAAGCATTAAATACTATGAAGAAATGACCACCCATTTCAGAAACTGAATGGATGCACGTAAGCAAAAGATAAAATGTGCAGTTCAGGGAAGGAAATGAGCCCATCCAATACACAGTAAAATACATGTGAATTTCCATTATCAACTTGAAATAAAATGTTTCCTGATGAATTATACACTGATTATCACACACGTGTAGAAGATGAGGTTCATTTAAAAGAAGCTGAAACCCCAAGATAACAACTGCTTAAACAATAGAGAAGGTTATTTCTCTGTCATATAGAAGGATTCTGGAGGTAGATGGTCAAGGGGAGTCTGTGTAGTTTCAAGGAGCATCAAGCATCTGTCACTGTTTGGCAATATTTGGCATAAGACTTCCAACTTATGGTTGAATATGGCTGCATGAGCACCAGCCATTGCACCTACATTTCAGCCAACAGAAAACAGATATGAACAGAGGGAAAAAATGGGCAAGGGGTGTCTGTTAATTTTATCGTAAGATTTCTTTTTTCCACTTACATCATATTGACCAAATCCTAGTTGCAGGGACACATCCAACAGTAAGGAGGCTGGAAACTGTTTTCTGGATAACCATGTGCTCAGCCCCAGATCAGGGGTTTTGGAACTAAGAAAAAGGGGATAAACAAAGGCAATGAACAGACTCAGCCACAACACCTTTCTGCTCCTGGAGTTTATTGGGTGCTTACAAGCTGGTTAGCTTGCACAGAGGGGTTATCTGAATTGTTGGATGACTAATTTGTCCTCTATCCCTCCAATCAGCCTGAAGAGATTTTTTTTCTATGTTTCCTAGTCAGAGTGTGAAGAAGGGCAAACTGTGGCTTTTCTGTGGTTTGCTGTTGGGGCAGCTAGCTGCTGATTCCTGGGAAGGAATTTCAATTCTTTCCATGTGCTCAGAGAGAAGAAGGCATTTGGTATGTTATTCTCACTCCCAAAAGCATTTTCATTTACCCACTTTCCTTCAAGTTATTCTCGAGTAAATATTAACATATTTTCTATGTAAATAAACTAAAATCTTGCAATCTGATCTCTAAAAGCACAAGATTACCCCTTTTCTTTATATAATATTTCTCTCCTCCCCTGGCCCCAGTCTAACTGGTTATGGCTATAGGAGGTGGTGGTGCAGACAGCAGAATCTACTCTTGTTGGATTTGGAAGAAAGGGCTTTTATTATAAGACCTTTAATAATTTCTGGCTTGGTAAATTTTCCTCCATCCCTTTGTTTTGAACCTATGTATGTCTTAGCTCAACCATTATTCAACCATTGTGGAAGACAGTGTGGCAATTCCTCAAAGATCTAGAAGCAGAAATACCATTTGACCCAGCAATCCCATTATTGGGTATATACCCAAAGGGATATAAATCATTCTATTACAAAGACACAAGCGTGTATATGTTCATTGCAGCACTATTCACAATAGCAGAGACATGAAGTCAACCTAAATGCCCATCAGTAATAGACTGGATAAAGACCATGGAATACTATGCAGCTCTAAAAAAGGAATGAGATCATGTCCTTTGCAGGGACGTGGATGGAGTTGGAAGCTGTTATCCTCAGCAAACTAACACAGGAACAGAAAATGAAACACCACATGTTCTCACTTATAAGTGGGAGCTGAATGATGAGAACACATGAATGCATGGGGGAGAACAATACACACTGGGGCTTATTGGGAGGGAGAGCATCAGGAAGAATAGCTAATGGATGCTGGGCTTAATACCTAGGCGATGGGTTGATCTGTGAAGCAGATCACCATGGCACACGTTTACCTATGTAACAAACCTGCACATCCTACACATGTACCCTGGAGCTTAAAATAAAAATTAAAGAAAAAAAAATTCTGGGAGGCAGAGAGCTCAGCCTAGATGGTGTCCAGCCAGAAACAATTCATATGGAAGATATTTAGCGACACGATAGATCTTTCTAGCAGATGCTTGACTGCTCCTAATGTTGCCTGGCATGTGCCACCAGGCAAAGGACACTGGGATGTCCCCACAGCTGCCCCAGAGAAACCCAGTACCTCTGCCTCAGGGCTTACCAGAAGGTGGGATCTTCCTGTGGTTGGCTGGCCCCTGATGCGCACTTCTGCCTCTCCTATCCTTCTAGTGCACCTGCCTGGCCAGCCCTCACCTGTGCGGCAGACTTCCACCCCTGAGACATCGGGGAATGATGTCCTCCAGCTTCTCAGCCTGGTGGTAGAGGGAGAAGCTGGAAGGAGGGTGCTTTGGGCAAGCCAGGCTGCCGGCTGCCGTCTTGGGCAATGCACCTCTGCATTGGGATGGCCCTCTACTCCTTACAAACTGTGTCCCTGCACATGCTCTCCAGAGAAAAACAAGCCTGGGCAAGGATTTGAACCTCAGGAAGGCAAATCTGACCACAGTCAAGAGTCATGACTTGAATTCAAGCTGTCCTTAGTCAAGCTGTTTCTCATCATACCTCTCTGATTGTCTCCATTTTTTTCTTGAAAATGTAGGCATTTGGCTAGTGGTTCTGGGTTGAATTGTGTACTCCCTCCCTATCAAATTCATGTGTTGAAGCCCTAATCTCCATAACCTCAGAATGTGATCTTATTTGGAGATAGGGTCTTTATAGAGGTAATTCAATTGAAATGAGGTCCTCAGGCTGGGCCCTCATCCAGTCTGGCTGCTGTCCTTATAAGAAGAAGAGATGAGGACACAGACATTCACAAAGGGATCCTCATGTGAGGACACAGAGGGAAGCCATCTGCAAGCCAGGAGAGAGGTCTTAGGAGGAACCTGCTCTGCCAACACGTTAATCTTGGACTCCAGCCTCCTGGATGTGAGAACATAAATTTCTGTTGCTTAAGTGACCCCGTGTGTGATACTTTGTCATGATAGCCTAAGCAATTCATACAAATAGGAATGAATTTTGCCTTTTCAACAGAAAAATTAGTATTTCTTCAATGATGATTATACCTTGTTTTTTTGTGCTCTTCCTCGCTTAATAAATTTGGAGGAAGATCTGATCTCATTAGTTCTCATTCTTTGTAATCGATAAGCATGGATTTGTGCTAATTTGATTATCTAGTTCCACAATGGGCATTTTATATAAGCCAGGGTGCCTCTGGATGGAAGCCCGAGAAACAGAATAATAGGAAATAGATGACCGAGAGGCGCTCAGAGTAAACTCTTACTTTTGGCTACCAAATTAGGCTTTGTATTAATGAGAACTTGATTTGAACAATCGAAGACTGTGGGTTTCAGAATACTTCTATTTTAGGACAAAAGAGAATTGTTCGCTCTTGGAAAAAGCTTTAAGTACCAAAGAAGGCACTAACTTGGTAAATGGAAAGCTAGAAGAAATGCGAATTGTGTTTTTGATTTGGGGAATACAATAGATGCAGAAAGTCCCCTTGCCTGGGACTGCTAATGCCTGAACTTGCTCATTAATCTCTGCCTCTTAGCACAGACCTGGAAAATTGCAATTCTCCGCACCAGCAGCCCCCATTCGATAAATATGCAGCCAGCAGGCAGGAACGAGAAGTGGCTCTGGGCTGTGGGGCTGGCTTGTTGGAATCCCACACTCCCCAAGCTGCAGAGGGATTGCAACTCAGGAAGTCAGGCAGAAGGACACAGTGGCTCTCTGCATGCTTTGTTCCCAGCTTTTTAAAGAGCTTATTGTCTTTTTTTAAATTGGCATTTCATAAAGTGTGATGCTGTATGCCAGCATTATTAGGTACTACGGGTATAAATTTATTGTTATAATTTTTTTTCCTCTGGAGGAATTGACCTTTTCTCCAACACTAGACGCCTTATTCTCTGAGTATATCTTGATCCAATGTGAGGTGTAAAGGATAAAAGCAAGGTGCAATCCTTGCTTGCTTTGTTACCTGTCTCTTTGGCTTTCTCTGCCTCAAGGGCAAGGGTTTGGGTCCTTAGGAGGGAACCCCACTCCCTCTCTTTGGCCGAGTGGCCTCGGTGTGGCCGAGGGGATCCCAGCTAAGAGGGCCCCAGCAGCACAGAACTCCGCATCAATTAGCTTAATGATATCAAGGGCAACACAGCTGACAGATGTTAATTCTTCCAAAGTTAATATTGTACTTTGAAAGAAGGTAGAACATTCTAAGAACCTTGGCATTACAATACCCCAATTGCAAGGCATACTTAAGTTAAATGACTGTTATTTCTTTATAGCTTGCTAAAATTTAGGTCCTTTTATAGTACGCTATGTGCTGTGACTCCTAATGAAGGCAGACTCCTACTCGGGACTATTATATCCCAATTTACTTCTTGGGCACAAATTTCTGATCTACAGCATTAGGCGTTAGGAGGTCATTCATTTCTATCAAATCAATCTTAAAATATGAAGAGTGATAAATATGTAAATTAAAGCATTTACCTGTTTGTGTGGTGTGTATGAGTGTGTATGTGGTGTGATGTGTGTGGTCTAATGTGTGTATGTCTATGGTGTGTGTGGTTTGTGTGTGTGTGGTGTGTATGTATGTGTAGTGTGTGGTGTGTAATGTGTATTTGTGTATGTGTGGTATGTGTTTGTGTGTGTAATGTGGTGTATTTGTGAGTGTGTGGTATGTTTGTGTGTTTTGTGTGTGTAGTGTGGTGTGTTTGTGTGTGGTGTGTATGAGTGCGTGTGGTGAGGGTTGTGTTTGTGTAGGAGTGTGTCTGGTGAGGTGTGTTTGTGTATGAGTGCATGTGTGTGGAGTGAGAGGTGTGTGTTGGTGTGTGTGTGGTGTGTGTGTGGGGTGTGTTTGATGTGTGATGTGTGTGGTGTGTGGGTGTAGGTATGTATGTGTGGTGTGTGTGTGTAGGGTGTGTTTGTGTGTGTGTGGTGTGTGTGATGTGTGTGTGTGTTTGGTCTGTGTGTGGGGTGTTTGTGTGTGTGGTGTGTGTGGTGTAGTGTGTTTGATGTGTGATGTGTGATGTGTGTGGTGTGTGTTTGTGTGTGATACGATATGTGTGTTTGGTGTGGTGTGGGTGTGGTGTGTTTGTGTGATATGTGTTTGGTGTGGTGTGTGTGTGTGGTGTAGTGTGTGTGGTGTGTGTGTGTGGTGTGTATTTGATGTGTGATGTGTGATGTGTGTGTGGTATGTGTGTGGTGTGTTTGCATATGTGGTATGATGTGTGTTTGGTGTGGTGTGTGCGTGGTGTGTTTGTGTGAGTGTGTGTGGTGTGTGACTGTGTGATGGGAGTGGATGTGTCGGTCTGTTGTGTGTGTGTGGCGTGTTGTATGTGTGTGTGTCTGTGTGTTAAAAGTAAAAGCTGCTGTGGTGATTTATTGCTGGTTCCTCCAATGATCTAACCATGATGACGTGAGCAATGACCTTTCATCGCCATCAACTGGGAAACAAACAGATTTGAGAGTTTCCTTTCCTAAGTTTAGGGGTTAATATATTTTTGAATTGTGCTGTGTTTCAAACTTTTTATCCTTTCTGGGACTGTTGCAGGATCCATGAATAGCTCTGTCATGCCCTAGGTGACTTTTCATGTCTGTTAATTTCCTAGGAATTTATGTTAATTATTTGAAGCCTGCCTCTTAGATTGTGAATGCACAGATGAAGACCATTTTTCTGGAAGTGCTATTTCCCACCATCCGTGAAGAGCCCTGGCTGCCGCCCCCATCCTGGTTGGCCTCACTGTGGGGCTGTGCCCCTCCCAGGATGGCTCCTTGGCAGAGGCCCCACCTGACAATCTTACCTCACACTCTCCAGCGGCCTGCTTTGCTCTTTGAATCTCTGAAATTCTATTACTTACTTGTGCATTTACCTTTCCATTTGTTTTCCTGGGGAGGGAGGGGACTAGGTTTGTTCTCTGCTCTCTCCCAGCCCCCAGGACAGGGATGGCTCTCTCAGACCACTCGCCGAACTCATGAATTTGGTATAGTTCCCCCAGACAGCCTGGTAAACCAGCAGATTTTGCAAGCTGGTTGACTGTATTATGTGTTTAGACTTGGACCATCCAAGAGATGCTTTTCCCCCAGAGCTATATTGACTGGTCCATAAAGAAGTCTGTCAGCTTGGTCTACATCTAAGGAGATGAAGTAGCACAACCCCACAGGATGAAAACAAGATTTGGAACAAGACCCAGATCCCAAGTCAGGCTTGGCCAGTCTTCACGAGGTGATCTTAAGCGAGGCCCTTCTAGAACGGGGATGATGAATGTTTCCTCAGCTCTCATAAATGACTACGTAAGTCCAAACTACAGATTACAGAAGCCCAAATTCTCTTTGTAAAATAGGGAATCTTAAATTCTGATTCTCTATGATGCAAAGCAACTTTAAAACCTATGAAGCCTCCAAATTAGGTCAGGTGCTGTTATAGGCTGAGCCGTGTCGTCTCCCCACCCAAATTAATATGTGGAAGCTCTAACCTCTGGTACCCCAGATTGTAACTACATTTGGAGATGGTTAAAGAGATGGTTAATTGATTAATGTTAAATTAATGTCCTCATGTGGTGAGGACACAGCAAAAAGGTGGAGAGAGGCCTCACGAGAAACCACACCTGCTAACACCTTCATCTCCAACTTCTGGCCTCCAGAACTGTGGGAAAATAAATTCCCATTGGTGAAGCCATCTAGTCTCTGGTATTTTGTTATGGCAGCCCGAGCAAACTCATACTCTTCTCGACAAGTATCTGCTGATGGACTATGGGACTGATGTGAGAACCTCTGCTCCAGCACCAAACTCTGTTGTATCAGAATAGATAAATGCAAGTGGAATTTTAATTTATCAAAGCATTTTTCTGTTCTTTGGATTTTCATGACAATACCAGAGACTTAAAAAAAATAGAGACAGGATCTCACTATGTTGCCCAGGCTGGTCTCAAACTTCTGGGCTCAAGTGACCCTCCTGCCTCGGCCTCCCAAAGTGCTAGGATTACAGGTGTGAGTCACCATGCCTGGCCCTGAGACTCGTAAAATTCATTTGGGACTGTCTTCAACTGGTAGTATAATAGTTCCTAACCTTTATATTTATGATTCTCTATTTTATATTTGCCCATCAAATGATCTGTAAAATAAAATCTACTTGAGTATATGAGGGAGGATCTATTTAATGCTCAATAAAGAGTGGTTTTTATTACCATTCCATCTTTAAGAAGGGCTGCCTGAGCTTTCTCTTGTGACATAATAAAACATATAATTGCAGAGGCCACCTTCTATTCAGTTTCTGTGGGGGAAAGGCAGTATTTCAGGAAAGTAGCATAAGAAATGTCTATACTAGTGCAAAGTTTAAACTTGAATAGGACTGTTTTGCTTCCTAGTGGAGGTCATGGCAGAACTGAATCAGGGGACGTTCCAAGCCTCAGGGAGCATCATTTCTTCATTATTTTTCCAAGCCTCAGGGAGCATCATTTCTTCATTATTCAAGGGCCATTGGCAGAGCTCTGTGTCAGGTCCTGGTGGTTTAATGAGGTTTCTGCTCAGAGGGAAAAGCCTCATTGCCTGGAGCCATTTTGCAACTACACTGTTTGTTGAGAAAGGGCAATGTGACAGGTGCACAGGTAATGGACAGGTAGCTAGATAATGTAGCAGTTCACGTAGCTGCCCAGCCTGATAGATTTTGATTGTCACTTCCTTTGAGGTGAGATCTTACAGGTGATGGACTTGGCTGATGTCTGAAGGCCTTGTGAGGGATAATGGCCCCCCAGGCACACAGGACGTTGAATCATGGGACCATTTTTTTGGAGCTATAGTGATCAATAAGTCGGGTTTCCCCTCGTCTTCTAGTGGAGTGGGAATTGCTGTTCTCTTACATCAGATCTGCTAATTGGCATGAATATCTCTTGACTGTTCTGTGGTCAGCTTGAAAATTTCAGAATGTCTATGCAGAGTGGGAAAAGGTAGAATTCCAGGACCTGCGGCAAATACAAGTAATGACAACTGTGAAGCCCTGGATGGCTTACAAGGTGTTTTGGTGAAATACTTCTTAAAAGGAAAAGCCGTAGACAAGTCAAATGTAGTGGAGTTGAGCAAAGAATGATTCCAGAATTAGGCGTCTCTCTGAACCAGAACAGGTTCTCAGAACTCCAGCCTGCCACGTGGTCAGGCAGCCTTGATGGGCAGAAAGCAGACGTGAGGCACCGAGGCAGCTTAACTGGTTACAGTGCAGCATTTTGCCCTGCTTGAGTAAGTTGCCCACCTGTGATTGACTGAAAATGGGCTGCTGTGATTGATGGAGAGCCCACTATTTGTTGACCAGAGCATGCCTGTACAGTACTCCTGAGTTAGGCTTCTAGTTAGTTTTTGTACTAAGACTGTAGTTTTTATTTGAGGACTGGAGTATGGAGGCATCCTCAGGCCAAATGTAATTTAGTCTAAAATGCTGCTCCCTCAGACTGAAAAGCCTCCATGGAGAGTGGGCGTGGCCAAAGTGATTTTCCAGTACACGCGGCAGAATCCTATGTGCACATGTCAGGGAGAGGCCACCCAGTCCAGACCTAAGCCTTCAGCCATCTGTGTGAAGGAGAAAGTGGTAACATGACGGAAATGATTGTACTGCAATCTGGACATGACAATGGCATTCGTTTCGTCCATACCACTCGTTTAGACGCCCTGCTCCCTCCTGGACACAGAAGCTCTGCAAAGGCCTCTAGGCCACTAGGAGGGCGTGGTGTGTGCCCTCGTAGCTAAGGAGAATGTCCTTTTGTATTGTCTAAGCTTTACAGTGACATGACTTGTGAGTTGTGGACTGTATCGGTCGGCAGTGGGAAGTCTCTCTTTTGAACAAATTTTAAGGATATTCTTTCTGCCTTGTATTTCTGAGCTGGGGCCATCTTGCAACAAGCCCAGCAAACACAGCTGACCATGATGGCCATGCGGGCGGCCATGATGGAAAGTGCCCCCTTCCTCCCTGGATGAGGGCCCGAGTGATCCATGAATCTCACCACTGAGCAGACACAGACACCCTGAGGCTGGAGAGCCACCTTACTGCCCACGTCCCCTTCACTGGCCTTTGCAGCTCTGGCCACGCCATGCCCAGTACAGTGTGGCCTGTGCTTTAAGGTACAACCGAGTGTTGATCTGAACATAAACCTAACACTGGGAGCCAGGTAGCACAGGCTTTTGTTTTCCAGATGAGAAAACTGAGCACCAGAGAAGCTAAGAACTTTTTTCAGAGTCACAGAGCAGTCAGAGGCAATCCCCAAATTCAGATTTTACCTGAAATCCATAGACCCACTTCTGCAGGGTGCCTGGCTCAGTGCGGAGAGTATCTAGGTGTGAGGAGAGAGGCAGCCTCTCATCCCCAAGGAGACTGAGGGCTTTGGCTGCTGGGACACGAGGCCTGTGTTCTTTGTTTTTGTTTTTGTTTGAGACAGGTCTCACTCTGTTTCCCAGGCTGGAGTACAGTGGTGCAATCATAGCTCACTGCAGCCTCCACCTCCCGGGCTCCAGTGATCCTCCCCTCTCAGTCTCCTGAGTAACTGGGACTATGCTCAGCTCTGTGTAAAAATTAGCTGCCACCACTCCTGGCTAATTTTTAACTTTTTGTAGAAACGGTGTCTCCATATGCTGCCCAGGCTGGTCTCAGACTCTCACCTCAGTCTCTGAATGTGCTGAGATTACCGGCATGAGCCACCACACCTGGCCCCGGGTTTTGTTTATTCCCTGGCCAGCTATTGGTGGCAGGCTCTGTTCTAGGCAAGAAGAGGCTTAGAAACCCGCCTGGAGCTTCTCTTGTTCTGCTGGGTCCCCACAGGCTCCTCTGGGGCCACAGGCCCTGGCCCAGGGGCATGAGGGTACACCTGTGCCTTCCTCTTTCCCTGTGTGCCTATTGAGGTCTGGACGTCTGCCCCTGGACACCTGTGCCCCTCTTCTCTCCATTCAGCCTTGAGCATTTCCTGAGGCTTTCCCCCATGAAACAGCAGTGCTCCCTGACGTCATTCTCAGGTGCCAGGTTTCCCATCTTCCTTACAGTGCCCCCTGTGGGCTGTGTCCCTCTGGCTGCCCAGACAGTGGCTTTCTCAGGACAGCTCCCAGCTACATGCCTCCTTGGAGGCCCCTTGAGGCCCTCCTCCATGACAATGCTGCAGGGAGTGAGGACAAGGACTCGCCTCACAGACTGAAGTTAAATGGTTACCAAGGAGGGTACCGTGCTTGTTTAGTCCTCCAGATAAAGGCATGCCTTTGACAGCTGCCTAGCATATTAATTAATGGCTCACTTGCAATCAACAGTTGTTAATTGAACACCTACTGTGTGTGTGCGCTGGATCCTATGTAAGCTGTTGGAACAAGGCGGACAAAGTCCCGGGCCTCACAGAGCTCACGCTCTAGCGTAGAAGACCGAGGACAAACCAGAGAAGGAAACAAAGAAGTAAAGTCATGGGTAGCAATTGCACCGTGAAGAACTGCAATGCAGGCTTGGGGGTGTGGCGTGCCCCTAGGGGACATATTCGGGGAATGTCCTCTCCTAGGGCTCTTCAGTCTCCCCAGCAGGCGTGGCCGAGGGCTTCCCTGTGGGTATCAGCAGTAGAAAGGGCCCCCTGTACTGCTCGTGGGTCCCCGCCTCTGCCCGGGAGTGATGGGGCTGGGGAAGCTCCTCACAGGGCCACCCTGCTCCTGTGGCCTTGTCACTGCCACTGGGGTCATCCTTGGGGAACCTTGGCAGGCTCCAAGGCCCTGAAGAGTGGTTCTGGGAGTGGGTGCCTGGCTGTGGTCCCTTCCCTTACTCTCCTCCCCTACCTTTGTGCCTGCTGAATCTGGGGTATTTAGAACTGTACTTTCCTGACTTCCAGGGCCACAGACCATTTGTACTGAACCCTGTGCCACCGAGTCTAATTGGTTGTCCCTTCTCCACTGCAGTCGGGTGCCCCATTCTCTTCCTTACACACTCCTGACTGGCTCAGCGGAAGGAGCTCCTGCCACTCCTCTAACAGCATCTGACCTTCCCCGCCGCCCCGGGAACTGGACTCTCTGAAGTATACAGAAAAGTAGCGATTCCTTAAATGTTAGTGGTTTCTTTTTTAAACAATGTAATATTTTTCAAATGAGGAATCAATCAGTCACTTTTGGCTGAGATATCAGTTTAAGATATAAGTGCAAAATTGATTTCTGTGAACTGTCCTCACTGTTTCATTATATATTTCCTTAATATACATAATTTTCTGCGTCTTCATTTGTCATTTGTCAAAAAATAATATTGCCGCTTTCTTCCATCATTATAAAAGGGAAAAGACAAATCAGGCCCTTTAAAAACTTCAGATTCCAGCAACATTTTACATTTAAAAGGGAAACTTCCCCTCCTACTTGGAATCAGGAGTGAATTTTTCCCCTTTGCACTCACTGTACAGTTGATGCAAGGATTCCTCTGGGAGTAGAAGGATTTGGGACTATAAACCATCTTATGAAAAATGACAACTCCCAGTGCTGTAGATGCTACCTAACCAAGGATGTTATTGGTACAAAAGGGTTTATTGCCATGAGCACAAACACTGGAGCCATTTGCATTCTGGGTTTGCTAGACACTTGACCTCCAGTCCCAGGCTCATGTGATAACATTAATTAACCACTTTTAAAACATCTACTTGAGCCACAGGAAACTTTTACTTCTCCCAGTGATCCTACCCCTTATTTTTCTCCAAAGAAAGGGCCCTGGCAATGTAGAAGACAATGTGAATAGCTACCTGGAGTGTGAGAAACAGTTCCACTTGTCTATCATTTGGGCTGTCCTGGGTTAAAAAGGAAGCACCCCCATCCCCTGCCTCTGAAATATTCCTGAACATTGGTGCACTCAACATCTCTGCTTTTATGAGCATTGGCAGCAAGTTTGAAATAGAAGACAACAGTTCTCTGATTTGGGTCATGGCTCCATCAGTCCTACAAGGCTTCCAAAGCCAGAGCTGACATTCCCTCCTCCTAGGTGAGAGGATGATTGAAGGGTCCCAGGTGGAAACTGATTAGGATCTAGGAAAATTGAGAGGAGGCTGCTTACAGCTCTGCAGATGCATCTGAAATAAGTGCTGATTCTCATCTATCTATTACCTGTCTATCTGTATTTGTCTATCATCTACTTATGTTTGTCTGTCTGTCTCTCTGATCTATCTATCTATCTATCTATCTATCTATCTATCTATCTATCATCTATCTATCTATCTGTCTATCTATCTATCTATCTATCTATCTATCATCTATCTATCTATCTATCTATCATCATCTATCTAGAGCAAGCAGGATAGAACAGGCAGGCCTTACCTCAAGTCCTCAAGGAACCCCAGCTTCCTCCACCCTCTCTGATAGAGCTGGTGCCTGAGCATTATTATGCAAAGTCCCTAAACAAGGTAGTGGATGATGAACTCAGGCTGCCTGGTGACACTCAGGAATAGAGCCCCACTCCCTGCTCACTGGCTGGGGCTTTTCCTCTGCCTCAGAATGCCTCCAGTTCTCCCATCTCCAAGTTGGCTGTGCTCCTCACAGGGCTGGCCTCCTCTGCTCTAGGTGCAAGCCCAGGGTGGCAGCGAGGCTCTTGGCCCAGGTCCCAGGAGAGGTCAGTTCTGTCCCCAGTTCTGGCTTGAGCTAACTCCAAGGCCTCCTTTGTCCTTGGATCTCAATTCTGGCCACACCTGAGAGTCTTTTTAAAAGAAGTGTAGATGTCTGGCCTCCCCACAGGGACACGGATTTCTCAACATCCATCTTGCTCTTAGGAGCACCCTTCCCACTGCGGCTGTGCAAGGAGGAAGCCCTGAGTCTGGGGTGAGACCCTCATGCCTGTATTTAAAAAAAGAAAGAAAAAGAAAAACGATGCCTTTGATGAATCTGATGTTTAGCCTTCATCAGACTAGAGGCATTTATTATTTTATTTTAGTTTTTTATTTCTGTAGGTTTTTGGGGAACAGGTGGTGTTTGGTTACATGAGTAAGTTCTTCAGTGGTGATTTGTAAGATTTTGATACACCCATCACCTGAGCAGCATACACTATACACTCTACGGCCATACCACCCTGAACACGCCGGGTCTCATCAGACTAGAGGCTTTTGAAAGACATTTACCTTCCACGACTGAAGAATTTTATTGATTTATTTGTTTTTCCGTCTTGGCTGCACTGGCCCTGTGCTGTGGTAAGGTATACAGCACAGAGGCCCAAGCCTTCGTTCCTCACCACCCCCCACTTTGTGTCCTGTCACCGTGTGAATTGGTGAAATCCCTCCACCTCAGCAAGCCATTTGCCAAGTCTACCTCATAGGAACAAGAATGTAAGCTTTGTGAAAGTTCAGTCGAACTGTGAAGGTCAAATGGTGTCATCCCATCTTGACGATGATAAAAATGGAAGCCCTGATTGCAATAAGCAAATCTTTCCTGAGAATGACACACAGAATTATACACGGAAACTCAGTATATGACTCTGCTGACTCAGTAATTGTGAATATCAGCTATCATTGGACCAATATCTTAGCAATATTAAATGGTACCTCTGTGAGATAGCAGGAGAAAGTAACAGCACAGCCAGTATTAAAACCATATATCAAGATGGTCACTGAGAACAGAAAATCATGTGCAGAAAATACATGAAGTGTTGAGACTGTGTCCTTGAGTTTCATTGTCCTGCTCAGGTGGTAGATTCTGAGCTCTGTCAAAACACTCCACTGGATTTTACTTTGCAGATGAGCTCTTGTCCTGGGGTGTAAGTTAAGCCCCTGTGTGTGCCCCAAGGTGGACTTCCTGGCTTCACTTATCTAGTGGGGCTGTCTGCTTTCCTATTTTCAGCTCAGTGATTGCCTTCTGTTTGTGTTTGTCTTGCTACAGATGGACAGAAGAAAGTTCAAGAAGAATTTGACATTGACATGGATGCACCAGAGACAGAACGTGCAGCGGTGGCCATTCAGTCTCAGTTCAGAAAATTCCAGAAGAAGAAGGCTGGGTCTCAGTCCTAGTGGGAGAACCCCCTCCTAGTCCACCTGAAAACACCAAATTCAACCATCATCTGTCAAGAAATTAAAAGAACAACACCCTAGAGAGAAGTCATCCACACACAATCCACACACGCATAGCAAACCTCCAATGCATGTACAGAAACCTGTGATATTTATACCCTTGTAGGAAGGTATAGACAATGGAATTGTGAGTAGCTTAATCTCTATGTTTCTCTCCATTTTCATTCCTCCTGCAACTATTTTCCTTGATGTTGTAATAAAATGAAGTTACGATGAGTGAATTCAAGTGACTGCCTTTCTTTCTCTCTTTATTTTACCCGATGTTAGAGGTGACTGTGAGCCAGGTGTCTATTTCTTTCTCTTAGGAGTCAGAGATGTAACACATTGTCTTCTGTTAGGAGCTTTTTTGCTGAGAGTGAGAGATCCATTTTCAGCCATGCTTGCCTCATTTGGAGAGTCCTAAGTGCTGGCTGGCGATGGCAACGTATTTTCTTCTTATCATGGGAATAGAGCCCTGTATCCTCGGGTGCCAAAGACAGAAGTTTCCCTGGGGAATTATGACTGATTCAGGAGAACAAAATGGGAGAAGGTGATGCATTTGTGTTTGGAGCATCCCCAGATTTACTCAGCAGACCCATTTCAGATCTCCAAAGGGGACACTCTAGCCTGTTATAGGCCATTCTGCAGCTTACCTGCAGTGCTCTGCACCTGTGTGGCTCCAGGGTACTGGCACCCTCTCTAAACTCCCCAACTTCCTCTATGCTGTGATTTGCCACGTGGTAGGGTTATTTATTGCAACCTGTAGCAATTTAGAGAAGCTATCAGGCCTCTCTTCCATTCCACCTTCTCCCATGCAAACCTTGCAGGTAAACTGTTCTGTAAATCCCGAAGTAGTTTTGTAGGCAGTGAGGAGAGGTCCATCACATAGAGAGGACCTCACCGCCACTGATTTGGGAGCCAGTTGGTTGGGTGGGTACCCTCCTTGGGAGACACTTGTGGCTTTTGTTTGCACTTTTCCACATGATAACGTGATGTGTAAGTCACATCTCATCTTCAACCTCCTGAGATGTTTGAGATGCTCCACGACTGCTGTCGTACACAGTGGGACATTGCATGTCTTTCCTTTGCCAGCTCCTTAACAAAGGGTCAAGGTGGAGCATGAAGAATAATGGGAAAAGGGGTGAGGGATGACATCGTGTGTGTGCACATGTGTGTGCATGGGTGTGTGGATGTAAGGGATGGTGTGAGTGAGGCATGGGCAAGGCAATGACTGCAGGTGGATGTGCCGCTGTTCCTGCGGCAGGGCCCCGTTTATTGTCAGGAAGGCACAGGTCAAGAAACACTGGCATGCTTGGGTGATTTACTGTCTCAAAAATCCCTCTGAAAGTGTGCATATTTTCTTGTGTAAGGAAATCTCTCCTGCCAGACAATTCCCTGCAGTCGTTAGAGACAGGGAAAACTCATAGATTCTGATGAATTTCCAATCATCAGAGAGCTAAACAGGATCACTTTGGCCCTGATAACCAGCGAGGACTCTGAGGGGCTCCTGATGCTGTGGTCCCTACTGAAAAGAGGACCACAGGCTGAGGGGACACTCCAGGAAAAGCTTCCTGAGACAGCAGAGATATGAATGCCACAGAAATCAGATGGGTCTCCATGTAGTCTTCTTTGGCGTTCCCTTAAGCTACCAATGTAAAGTAAGCCAGGAACAAAACAAACACTTACATATTTTGGATCAATTTCACCACACCTCATACTTCAAGCACCTCCATCCTCTGAATAGTTCACCTAAAGGAAGTAGGGGCACTGTCTATACTGGCTGCACTCTGGCCAGTGCTGTCCCAACGCTGACCCCTCTGGAAGCTAATCTGGCTTATAATGAGGATGCTTTCTTTAGAGGGGACTCTCCATGCACAGCAGAAAATCCCAATGGAGTGGTTCTTCCCTATGTCCCCAAGGGACTGGGAATATTCTTTCAGTAACAATGGCCCATTGGGGGAAGAAGGATGAAAGTGGGGTGAGAGACGTGAAATTTGGAGAGGTCCCTCAAAGATTGTGATGTGCCTCTCTTGTTCCAATCACAGGACAGGGGTATAACGGCTTTCCTTTGAAACACGGGGATGAATTTAACTATTCACTTCCCAGGTAGATTCATCAGGGTCTAGAGCTTCAGCTAACAGCATGAGGAAGATTCCAAATGTGCCCCCATCAGCATAGGAACTGGGTATGTTGAGTCTATGGTCTCATAAAACCAGAAGAAGGACAAGGGATTGTGGCTCCAGGCTTGGGAGCACCTTTTCCTTACCATGGGCTACAGTATTTATTTAGGGTAAAGGAAGGAAACTCCTGAGGTGCTATGGGGTGCCAGCAATTTGGAGCATCAGTAATTCAATGTCCCTTCAGCCATGTGTATTCAACTCCTGCTGTGGGTGTGGACTTGGTGCAGTGGCTGCAAAGCAGGACAGTCCTTGTCAAGGTGCTGTCAGTCTGGTGGGGAAGGGACGAGGATAAGCAGATGCTGGAATGGAAGGAGGGGCACAGCACGGCAGATCATGGAGAATCAATCACTCAAGTCTTCTCCAGGTGCAGCCATGCCCGGCAGTACACTGAAGGCTGACAGGAGTTCCTGGGTAAATAAGGGTGGTGGTTGGTGAAGAAGTGTCTGGGCAAAGTCCTTGAGAAGGAGGTGCACAACTTTGCCATCCCAGAGGCTGAATTTATCATTACACTTCAGCCTGGGGGATGTGACTCTGCTCTCTGAACTTGGGGAGGCCAGGAGGCAAGAACCCAAGTATTTGAGACTTGAAACTGGATCCATCTTTGACTTACAGTCAGTCAAATGACTACAGAGAAGTTACCTACCTCAAGTAGCCAGTTTCTTTAACAGCAAAGTGATGATAAAATCTTTGTGTTAAGGTGGTTGGCAAAGTGTTAGGAATTTAGAATGAGGCAAAATGCATGAGTGTCTGGCTCAGTGTAGGTGTCTAATAAATGTAAGCTGTCATTATTGATAAACCAGTGTGGTAAAGAGTCAACCATAGCTTCCCTTATCAACATGCAACACACAACACTTCACTCAACTGAAGCCATGGGACTCAGTTTCCCTTGGCTACAGCCAGTTGGACCAGTGGTAGGCACTTGACTCAAGGGGTGGGCTCAGCCTGTCTGAATATTTCTCTAGTGATTCTGAATTAACCTTCATGGGAGCTGAGCCAGTTAAGGTGAGGGAGATGTTGAGCTGGGACAAGGCTGGTGTGGTGACAGGTAAAAGTTGCAAAAAAGGTTTTAAAAAACTTTTTTTTTTTCAAGGAGCTGCAAAAGCCCATGTGGAGACAGGTGCAGGAAGAAGGAGAGGACTTGAGACTCAAGGTACATGAGCCCATGAGAGATGAAGAGGTAGCCTAGGTTGAGTTAGTCATTTGGTAGCAATGAATAGAAACCCACTCATACTAGCTAAAAAAAGAGAGAATTATTCAGGTCTCACAGACATCCAAGAATAGAACATCCAAGACACCCAAGAAAAGAACAGAACACCATGGGCAGGCAGAATTATATTAGATTTATAAATAAACTAGGGCACAGTGGGGAAGAATTGACGTCTTTATATTATTGTTTTTATAGCATTTTATGACGTTTGGTGGTTTTGTAGTTTTCTTCATATAGGTCTTGCACATTTCTTTTTGTTCTATTTCTAAGTGTTTCATAGTTTTTGTTGTCCTTGTAAGCACAATATTTTTCCAAAGCATTCTCTAGTAGGTGTTGCTGTTATCTCAAAGAACTACTGATTTCTGTAGATTTAGCTCTGTAACCATTCATCTTACTGAACTACATTCCTGATCATTTTCCAGTGAATATTTTTGGATTTCCAGGTCCTATCACTTGCAAATAACAATAATTTTGTCTCTTCTTTCCGACTACTTTCAATTCCTTTTCTTTGTTCTGTCTCATCTTCCTGTGTGTTGAGGGAGGCTTGGGCATGATTTCAGTCTCAACAGTTATAGTGACAGACCATCTCACGGGTTGTCATTTGCATGGGTCAGCTATTTTGGGTTGATTGATTTTAACTTCATAAGATCATCTTTTCTCAAGTTTTATGAGTCTCTTATTGTACCTTTGAATGCACACATTTTATAGACTGTGGAGATTAACCTAAATAAATTAGTATAATTGTAAGGGGAGATTGAACAGGAAGAGTTTAGGGTTAGGGCTTATTTAGGATTTGCGTTTAAGATGAGGATTCACACAAATGTCATGTTTAGGAGATTTCACTTGATTACAGCTCAAATCATGGACAATCAAGGTAGAGTCCCTTGGTCACTCTTTTAGCTAGAGATGCTAAAACAAAATACCATACAAGGGTGGCTTAAACAATAGACACATATTTTTCACAGTTCTGGAGGCTAGGAAGTCCAAGATGAAGGTGCTGCAGGACTTGGTTCCTGGTGAGGTCTCTCTTCCTGGCTTTTAGACAGCCACCTTCTTGCTGTGTCCTCACATGGTAACATGGTAGACAGTGAACTTGCTCTTCTTTTTTTTTTTTTTTTTGAGATGGAGGTCTCGCTATGTTACCCAGGCCGGAGTGGAGTGGTGCAATCTCAGCTCACTGCAACCTCTGCCTCCTGGGTTCAAGCGATTATCCTGCCTCAGCCTCCCGAGTAGCTGGGATTAGAGGTGTGCACCACCGCGCCCTGCTAATTTTTGTATTTTTAGTAGAGATGGGGTTTCACCATTTTGGCCATGCTGGTCTCAAACTTCTGACCTTAGGTGATCCACCCACCTCAGCCTCCCAAAGTGCTGGGATTACATCCATGAGCCACTGTGCCCAGCTCTTTCTCTTCTTGCAAGGGTACTAATCCCATCATGGGGCCCGACCCTCTTGATATCATCTAAGCCTAATTACCTTCCAAAGGTCCCACTTCAATATCATCATCTTGGGGGTTAGAGATTCACCATGTGAATTTAAAGGGACATAAACATTCAGTCCATAACATTCAGCTCACCCTTGGGCTTCATTTTCTGTAATTTGATCAGACTGAACAGTAGATTGGACTTTGTTTACTGCCCATCGATTTACTGCACAACGTGGATTTATGCTCATTGCCTGCCACTCTTCCCCTCTGGTTGCTGCTTCAAGACTGGCTCCATTTTCCCTACAGCTGTGACAATGCACTATGTTCAGTGCCCCATTGCCCTTTAGGAAGTCTTTTGCTCTTTTGTTAACAGTTGCTTAATTCAATAAGAATTAAGGGTAAACAGAATGCTGCTATGCTTTATGTGCCCTCCATGGGAGTTAGGAGTCTGCAGAGAGGGGATGATGATGGGTTTGGGCTGAGGCATGTGTTGGAGGGCACCTGCTGGAGGGCAAGGCTTGATCAGGCTTTATGAATAAAACCGCCAGAGGATTGTTAAAGTAGAGCCACTGTTCTTGCTCTCTGCCCTGTAAAGCTGATTTGAATATGAAATTTTTGCCCCCCACCAAAAAAAAAGCTAACCACTCATTATATTATATGCCTGTGCTTCAGGCTTTCTCTGGCATCTGACGGTTTAAAGAGCTACTACCATCACATGGACCATGACAGCTCACAAAGGAGAGAGATGTACTTCTCTGTTAGTGCTTCTGGGGCTTCTACTGGGGGTCTTTCTTGTAGCCCCCAAGCTAAGTAAGAATTTTCTAGGCTACCTACAGCATGAACTATGTTGTTAGATGTTGTCTTGTTCAAAGCCAGGCTGAGTCTTTGATTTAATGAGATGGATTCCTGCACAGAAATGCCTAGACTCAGGTGAAATCACATGGTATTCGATGTAACTAGGAGGAGTCCATGCCTTCCTGCTGTATTCTTCCTGCTGTATTCTTATGTGAACCTTACTGATGCCAAAAATATTAGGCTGGCTGCTTTCCTCCCTCTGCTGCAGCCAGGCCACCTGTACCCAGGCCTTCTAACCAAGCACTGTGGTTTGGGAACCACACATGCGGCATGTCTGGCTCTAGACAAAATCACTTGTGGCTGACTCTGTAACTCTTGACAGGTGCAAAGGCTTAGACAGTGCTAATCCTGAGAGCTAACACTGTTCTATACCTGGATACTTTCAGTGACCATCCCTCCAATATCACCACATCATTTCCTCTTTCTAGTATATTCTGTAACAACCAGAGTAATTTTTAAAAACTGCAAACCTGGTCCTATCATCTTTTCCATGCTTACCTCCCCTCAAACTTCAACATTCTTTAATGTCTTAACTGTGCTCATAGGATAAAGCCAATTTCCTCTGTGTGGCACCCACACTGCCACCTCTCCTCTTGTTCTGGAGGCTTCTGATGTTCCTGGGATGTGCTCTCTTGCCCGCCCCAACATCAAGATGCTTGAGTCTGCTTCTCAATCTCACCCTGCCCCTCTTTCTCTGCATCTGGTACTTCCTATCATCTTAGTTCTGAGCTGACCTGTTACTTTCTGGAGTAGTTGAGGGAGAACGAACTGATGGAAAGACAAACCCCCAAATCCCGGTGCCTGAACCCAGTAGAACTTTATTTCTTGCTTGCAGCAGAATCCAAGACTGGTGCTCCAGAGTCATCTGCATTTTCCATGCGGGAGGCTGTGTCAAAAGTTTCTGATGGGTTAAACCCAGAAGTGACTGATTGACATTGATTCCACTGGCTGGGAGAAAACACCTGGTCTCGCCTATGTGCAGGTGAGCAGGGAAATGCAGTCCACCTGTGTGCTCAGGAAGTGGAGGAAGCAGATTTGGGGCATCACTGCAGTTTCTGCCACAGCCCCCTCCCCTCACACCCCAACCCTTCCCACATACCTACTCACCCGACTCACCTAAGGTCCTGTTCCTGATGGCACTTATTACAACTGTAATTCACAGGCATCACTGTGATTGTCCAGTCAATACTCGTCTCCTCCATGCTGCTCCATGAGGTCAGGGACACCCGTTTTACCAGCGGTTCAGGTGCTCTGTAAGAACTTGCAGCAAGAATGAATAAATACATCCATGCCCACATTTGTGGCATGCACTCTACAGAAATCATCTTTCCCAGTGTATTTGAGGGCAGAGGTACATAAAGGAACCCTAATGTTTTCATTCAGTAAACAGTCAAGGAAGACCTTGATCTGGTCAGAGTCCAAAGTCAGCCGGTATGCTTCAGCTTTTCATTTTCCTCTCTAAGGAGGGTGTTAGAAAGCCACTGCACTGTAGATTTTCTTGTCATCCTAGTTTACAATGGCTAGACATAGAGTGGAATTCAGGACAGATAGGCACCAAGACACAGGTACGTTTCTAGGCCTCTGTTTATTCCCCCAAAAAGCTGAACAAATCCCCAAGCCTATGGTGGTCTTGAGGTCAACAGGCACCTGAAAACTGCAAACCCAGGATCCTACTTTATTCCATGCTATTCTTTCTTTTACAGGCTCTTTGCAACCTGCAACTTCCACCTCCTGGGTTCAAGTGATTCTCCTGTCTCAGCCTCCCAAGTAGCTAGGATTACAGGTGCTCACCACCATGCCCGGCCAATTTTTGTATTTTTAGTAGAGATGGGGTTTCACCATATTGGCCAGGCCGGTCTCAAACTCCTAACGTCGGGTGATCCATCCACCTCAGCCTCCCGAGTAGCTAGGATTACAGGTGCTCACCACCATGCCCGGCTAATTTTTGTATTTTTAGTAGAGATGGGGTTTCACCATATTGGCCAGGCCGGTCTCAAACTCCTAACATCGGGTGATCCATCCACCTCAGCCTCCCAGAGTGCTGGGATTACAGGCGTGAGCCAACATGCCTGGCCATGTCATTCTTTCTGTATAGAACAAATGCCTGCTGTTAGCCTACCCTCACTGTAGGCAGTGGACTGCCCTGGGCTTGTGGTCAGCCAGCCTAGTACTGGAGTTGTCCTGGGAAAGAAGCACAACTTCCTCTAGCCGCAACCTTCCCCTCTATAAAATGGACATAACTCCCAGGATGGTAGGGAGGGATTAAAAGCAACCTATGTGGAGCTCTTCCTGTGTATCAGGTTGTGGCAAGCTATTAAGGGCTTCACACATATTATTTCATTGAGTCTTAATAGTCTTAAAGAGGATGTACTTTATCCGCATTTTACAGATGAGAAACCTAAGGCTCAGAGAGGATGAGGGTCATGCAGCTATTGAGAGATGAGGTTGAATTCTGCATCTGGGTTTGACTTGAGAGCCTGAAGTCTTTGACACCCTATTCATCTAGTAGGAGGCATTGAACACCAATGTGTTTTGTAACTTACAGTGCTTCCTATCCATGTGGGGCACCATTTGGGTTCTGTAATCTCCAGTGCCCCCATGATGCCTCTCATGATTCAAGTCCTTTGGGGATCCTCTGCCTCTGCATTCCAATAGTGATGACTGTAGACAGAATAAGACCCCTAAAGATGTCCATGTCCAAAACCCCAGAACACATGAATATGCCCAAAAGGACTTCATGGATGTCATTAAGTTAAAGATTTTGAGATGGAAAGATTGTACTGGATTGCCTGAGTGGGTTCAATGTAATCACAAGCATATTTCGAAGAAGGAGGCAAGAGAGGATCAGCATTGGAAAAAAGGGTGGGAGGAATGTGCTTTGAGGATGGAGGAAGGGGCCAAGAACCAAGGAATGCAGGTGGCCTCTAGAAAAGGAAGGAACAGATTCTCCCTAGGAGTCTCCAGAAGGAACACAGCCCTGCCAAAACTTTGATTTTTACCTTATTATAATAGACACATTTTGGACTTCTGAGCCCCAGAACTATAGCATAGTAAATTGTGTTGTTTGAAGCTACTAGGTTCGTGGTAGCTTGGAAATTATAATGCAGTGGTAATTTCTGTGCCATGTCTCTAGTACCTTAATGCTTGGTGTGGTCTTGCAGCTCACCTGTTATGCATGCACTGATTACTATCACCCCAGCTCACACAGCATCCCTCGAGACAGTCATCCAGTACATCCCTCTCTGTGAGGACACTGCAGATACAGAAGAGCTGATGAAATGTTTTCTGGTCTTTAAAACTGTGGTACGGTGGTGAGGCTACTGAGATGGCTGGCAGATCACACTGTCCTCAGCCCTGGTCTCTGGGAATGGGTGGGATCTGCAGCAACATGATTATACCACAGTCTCTGTAGGACCCCCTTGGACAGGGAGGTGCCAAGGGCTGAGGCGAGCCAGCAGCATCGTGGTTCGTCAGCTGCTGTGGCCTGACAACCGTGGGTGAGCTTTGGAGGCTGGCCTGTGGCCAGCACTGGCCACAATTTTCTCCTTGTTCAGGTGTTGCTCAGGCTCTTTCGTGTGATTTGTTTGCAACCAAGCCAGCAGCCTCTGCAACCCCAGGCACGGAGCCAACCCAATAAATCTGGCTGCCATGCAAATGGCTGTGCCATTGCAGAGCTGCAGGCCGAGAGGGAGCTGTGAAGACTCTGCACCATTTGTATTCCTGCCTGAAATACCATGCCATTCCCTGCATTCCCTGGCCCCACTTCTGTCAAGCTCCCAGGGGAGGAGCTGCCCATCCACCCAGTGTAAAGGACCGGTGGGGTGGTAAAGCAGAAAGTGGGTGTTCTATGACTTTGATAACCTCCTTGTGGGTGTGTGAAGGTGAGGGAACTCCGTGGGACAGTGATTGGAGTTGTTGGGTCCCCCTTTTCGATTGTCTTGGTCTCAATGAACAAAGGCATTCTTCAGCTCCTTTCTGAATGCCTGGCTCCCAATCCAGGTCTCATTTACTCAGTGCCTCTCACCCACATCTACTGGCTCCCTGATGTGTTTTCATGTTTATAAATCAAAGAGCGTGAATGTTGCTAGCTACCTTAGGGACCTCATCCAGCCCTGCATTTTATAAACAAGTGAAGCAAAGCTCTGAGAAATGGAGCGCTTGCCTGCAACCACAGGTCAGGCCCAGGCATAGCATCCTTCAGGGCCAGTGCATACCCTGATGCAGCTGAACCCTCAGCAAGGCTGCTGCCACCCATCTGCAACTCTCCACCAGAGATGGGAGGCTGTGTTTTGTCCATCTAGGCCCTGAGACGCCCCTTGCTGGCTAGGTTGCCCAATCACTTGCTTGAATTCCCTGGGAATAGACATGGAAGAAAGAGCAAAAGCAAACAAACAGTGGCCCACTCCATTGCTTTTTCAGTGTGAATTTCAGAAGAGTGGAGGGGAGGGATGTGGCCATTAGGATGGAATCTCAGCGCTTTATCTGACACCCCCAGTAACGGTGGCTTCAATGACAGGGCTCATGTGTCTCATCTGTAAGAGTCTGGATTAGCAGCAGCTTCCTGGTATTAGGACCAGAACTTCTACCTTGTCTGGCCATCTTTAATGTCCTGCCCTTTCTCTCATAGTCTGAGATGGATCACCACTGCATTCATGTCCAGCCACAGGAAGGGGACAAGGCGGTGGACAACTGGGAGTATGGACGGAGAAGAGCACAGTCTCTGCCTCATGGGCCATCTTTTGTGGCCTAAACTAGGTAGATAGGCACACATGTGGCCTGAGTTCCCCAGACGGTTGACACCTGTCCAATTCTCCTGGTGCTGTGTGGCCTGGAGACATGTGATTGGAATGGCAGAAGATGGTTTCCATCCATGCACGCATCTTCCCAGCACTCATCCTTCCAGCTAATGCTGATGCATCTCCTAGCCAGCACACAGGGCAGCTGGAAGTGATTGGCATTCCTGCCGCTCAGCACCGTTCCTGGCCAATGCCTGGTGGGACTTGGAGGATAAATATCCCAGCTAACTTGCTCTCTATGTGAAATCACTCTGAGGCTGTACTGTTCTGCCTTCCAGAGTTCTGTTGTAGGGGTGAGCCCCAGGTCACACGCAGTAAACTGCTGGAGGGTGCACTTTGCATGGGCTTTGCTCTGTGTCTCACATGCTCACTTCCCTCCTGATACTCCCCAGAAAACCTCCCAAACAAACCACTTATATTTAAATGCTTGTCTCAAGGTTTGCATCTAGGAGAACCCATCCCAAGACATATGGCAAAGGAGACACGTGGGCATTTTTAGCTAAAACTCCAGGTTCCAAGAATTCTGGACCATATGCACCATATGTTTTGTTTACATCTTATGTTTCACAACCTCGTTTTTTTAATTAAGAAATCAGCCTCTTAAGATATAAGTGGGCAGAAATTAACTTAGTTTTTGTCCATCAAGAGTTATTTCCTTTCCTTGAAGGAAAAGCTTCCCTACAAGGGAAGGAAGGTGGAGTAGGAGGACCCATCTGCTCTGTGTTGGAATTCATCTAAGTCCTGGAAGTACGAAGACGAGAGAGACATGGTCTCTACTTTCTCTGGAAGCTTCATTCAAATGGGAGACTTAAGAGACATATATATGAGAGGTCAGCTAAGAGCATGAGAGAAAAATGCAAGATGTGTCGCAGTGAAGCTCACATTTATGAAAAAGCAAATGTGTCCTTGAGAAAGGGACAGGACTCCATGGATAGCTGGGAAGGCAGAAGCTTCTAGAAGAGGACCAGAGAGGTAGGAGGAGGAGAAAGGACCCTCAGCCCAAGAGTGAGGGTCTCAGTGTCTATCACAAGATCACGTGCTGCTGCGTCAGCCTCACCTATTTGATCACAGGCATTTCAGCCATGAACCCCTCTCTTCTGCCTCCTTGGGAATTGTATACGAACTCTCCCTCTGCTTTTCTAGGCTGGTGGAACATGCATTTCGGTGGCTTCAGGGACTCTGCTTTCTTTACTGATTTGCATGTGTGACTTGGTGCTCCACTCTCTGGGATACGCTGACATCTTGAATCTGCTTCTGCATCTCAGGTTAAAACAGGGATGTGCTCTGTGCACATGTTCATCCCCTCCCTTCCCTGTGCCACGTTACCCATGGCCTGGCCCCTCTCTGTCTTCCTGATGCTTGCCTATTTGTTCTCTGTTGAAGAACTTCAGGTTCCAAGCATTCTGGACCATACGTACCATGGTTTGTTTATGTCTTATTTTTCACAACCTCTTTTTTTTAAATTAAGAAATCAGTGCCTTAAGATAAAAATGGGTAGACATTAACTTAGTTTATGTCTATCAAGAGTTATTCCCTTTCCTTGAAGGGAAGGAAGGTAGAGTAGGAGGGTGTGACCCAACTGCTTTGTGTTGGGATCCATCTAAGTCCTGAAGGTATGGTGATGAGAGAGATGTGGTCTCTATTTTTTTCTGGAAGCTTCATCCCAGTGGGATGCCCATTACCCTCAGACCATTCATGGAATGGTCCTCACTCCCTGAGAACAACTCTGTGTTTGGTCACCTCAGTCACCTTGAAGCTCTCTGTCCTTGGGATAGCTGCTTCCCAGGAGGCTCCCTGATGCCTTGTGCCAATGTTCTTTGGTGGACAAAAGCTCTCAGCCACCCTGGCTGCAGAGAGGCATGACCCTATAGCCTGCAAATAGCAGAGCCCACCTCCCAGCACCTGTGCTAGTCTAGGACTGTGAAAAGCTATTCTAACTAAAATCAATTCAGTTTGGGGTGAAATTGATTCCACTGTAGCCCCTCAGCATTTTCCAGGGTCCTGTCTTTCCTCTTTTCCTATAGTTTTTAAGTCCCATGCTGTGATTTTCTAGTTTCCTTTATGGGCAGTGTAACAAGCTGAGTTACCATCTAGATAGATTACATCATTTTTAACTTGCTTTAAACTGGATGCTCATTCTGGATTGAATCAGTCCTGGGGTGTTTCTCTTGGCTTCCTCTGGTCTGGAATCACACTCATTCCCAATCTGAGGTCTCCCCAGTGGCTTTCCATAGGGTTCATGGACTCTATCATTCTGTTTGTAATAAGAAGTCTGACTTAGTCTCTAAGACAACAGTTAGTTCAGTAGGTTGTGGGGATAATGTGGGGCTTAGCAGGACTGTGTGGGTCGCTCTATCCTGAACCCATATCCACTAGAAAGGTCCAGAACTTGATATGCTACTGAAGGTGAGGGGCTGGAACTGCTAACTACAGTTACTCAATCATTGTAATTAGTTATTCACCACCTTTCCTAATATCCAGGCTTCTTTTCCTCTCTATCTAGATCCCTACTATAGATCCCTTAAGAATAATAGTCATATTGCTTGGATAATCAATGCCAGATGCTGTTACTAACAACCCCACCATTCAGTGATTTAATACACAGGAAGTATTGTTCTCACTCCTGTGAAGCCTGATGAGCTTTGTGCAGCTATCTAGGCAGCTCTCCATCCAGGCAGTGACTCAGGGATGCAGGTTCTGTCCCTTGGATGACTATGTCTTTGGGTCATTTGCTTCTGAGAGAAAGAGTTTGGATGATCACAAAATGTGTTAGTTTCTAGGGCTGCCATAACAAATTTCCACACTGGATAGTTTACACAACAAAAATTTATTGTCTTACAGTTTTGGAGGCTGGAAGTCTGAAACCAAGGTGTTGGCAGGGGTGGTTCCTTCTGGAGACAGAGGGAGAATCTGTTCCATGGCTCTCTTAGCTTCTGGTGGCTGCCAGCAGTCCTTGGCATTCCTTGGAGTGTAGACACGGAACTCCAGTCTCTGCCTCCATCCTCACATCACCCTTTGTGTCTGTGTGAATCTTCTTCTTTTTTTTTTTTTTTTGCCTCTTACAAGGACAGCAGTCATTGGATTTAGGGCCTACCCTAAATCTAGGATGATCTCATCTTTTGATCTTTAACTTACATCTACAAAAATACTTTTTTTCAGATAAGGTCTCCTTCACGAGTTCCATGAGTTAGGGCTTGGGTACATCGTTTAGGGGGGTGATATTCAACCCACTGCACACGTTTGTTTGTTTTATTATCATGCCTAGAAGTGGCGCCCATGCCCACTCACATTCCATCGGTCAGCTCAAATCACACAGCACAGCCTCGGTTGCAAGGGAGGGTGGGAAGATCATCCTCCTATTTGCCCAGATAAGCAGATGGAGGTGGTGAGCACCTAGCCAGTCTCAGACACGTGGCCAGTGTTCAAGGAGTGCTTCTTCTGTGCCCGATGCCATGCTGAGGACTTTGCAAGGATTATCTCCTTTTAATCCTCACAAGAAGCCTCTGAGGCGGACACTTGTAGTTATCCAATCTTCAGACAAATAAACAGAGGCACAGAGTCCCTTGACAAATTTCCCAGGTCATTCATGAATGGTAGAACCACTGATTCCATCTAAGCAGACTTTTCAGAGCCTGTGCCTTTTGCCCCATAGGATGCTGCTTCTAACTGTACTGACTCCTGGTCTTTTATCCTTGTGGGACAGTTGTCACAGCCCCCATGCCTAGCCTCAGATTTCCTTTACTTATCACTGGGGGCTGAGCTCGTTGGAACTGAGTGCTTAGAGCTAAGTGCTGACTGGGGGCTGCCTTTCCTTGCAAAAGTTCTTTCTTTCACCCTAGACACTGTCTCAGCTTTCTTGTCCCCACAGTGACTTGTTCAAGGACACATCAAAGACTGAAAATATAGCCAAAGTTCTCACTTTCTGGTCCAGAAACTGGATGAAAGCAATTGACGGGAGTGACAATGCAGATGTCTCAAGTTGATGGAAGCAAATATTAACAAGTTCATCTGCCAAAGAAGAGAAGCCGGCTAGGTGGAGCCTGATGTTTTATTCTTCAAGCACAGCTATCAACTTTGAGTGAGAGGATACAGAAAATTTATTTCTACTTTGGCTGCTTTCAGAACTGCATTTATCAGCAGCTCCAGCATAATCTACATCAAGCTGCAAAGCATCAATTGGCAGCCTGTTTGAAGCAGATCCAGGCTACCTTGTCTGAATAGAGCCACATACCATATTTGCAAGCAAGAAGGCTGTAGGTTCTTGGCAGGTGGGGAAAGGGACCAGGTTCACTTTCCTATTCTATGCTACCCCTTCTGTTCTGGAAAATTTTCTGCTGGCTTGCAGAAGATCAAAGCGGGAAAAATAAGCTTATGTAATTTAGTACCTCATTACTGATTATTGATCCAGATCTGTCTTGTACACATAGCAGATAAAAAAGTAAATAATGTTTTGAAAGAAATAAAGACCAAGAGAATAATGAAGCTGGAGGAAGGGCAAAAAGAAGGAAGAAAAGAATCAAAGGAAGGAAGAGAGACTGGAAGGGAAGAGAGAAAAGAAACAAAGTCACTAGGTGGGAAAGAAAATAACTTCCCTGTAGTTTGGTTTTGAGGTAGGAGAAAACATGTTCTACCATGCCTTTGATAAGTACATAGTTAGTGGATAACCCTGTCTGCCACAAATTCTGGCAAGCCCACTCTCCGTGTCTGCAGATGCAACAGATTTCATTCTAGGAGTTGGATAGCCATGGTCAGTTTGTGACGGGGGCAGGTGACACCAGAGAGCATGAGTTGGGCTCTAGTTCACTCTGCATCTACCATGTCCAAGGCATTGTACCAATTTCATGGGGACAGAGTGAAGGATGCAGTCAGGCACAGGTAGTGCTTATAGGTTTTCTTCGGTGAGGCACAATGGCAAGACGTGGCCATCTGTCTTCAAGGAGTTTGCTTTTTCATGGAAGTGACAGACATGTTCCTTAATGAGGTAAAAGTGGTGAGTCCTTTGAGAGACAAACAGATGAAGAATGGGAAGGGGGAGAGATCAATGTTGACTAGGGGAACACTTGATAGAGAAATATACGTCTCGAAGAAAGCATAGAAGTTGAACAGGTGGAGATAGGGAAAAGGACATTTTAGGATGGGCCACACTCAGAGGCAAGAAAACACTTCTTTTGAGGAATAGCAACTCTTCCAGGCTGGGAAGTGCATAGGGAGCTTGGAGGGGTGCAGTGGAATCTAAGTCTGGAGAGGTAGGTGAAGGCCAGGCTGGACGACAGATGGCCACTGTGGCCGAGCTGGCTAACAGCTCACCAGCCTGTCTTCTCTTCATCTTGGGAACAGCCTGTCAACACTGGCCAGCCTTCCTGGCAGTGAAATGTGGCCACGTGCCTGAGTCCAGGCCAGTGAAACCACAGGGCAGAAGCCACATGAGCCACTTTCAAGCCAGGTGCATAGAAAATAAAAGTGCTATGTGTGGTCCTCCATTCTCTTTATCCTTGTTTCCATGATGGGGAAAGAGAATGGAGGATCACACATAGCACTTTTATTTTCATGCCCATTAGGGTGACTTTGGAACTGGTTTAAGAGGGCTGTTAGTATTTGAATGTTTGTGTTCTCCCAGAAATCCTATGTTGAAATCTAATCCTCAGTGTGACAGTGTTAAGAGGTGGGATCTTGGATGGGGGAGGGGGGTCATGAGGAGGAAGCCATTATGAATGGAATTTATGCCCTTATAAATGAGACCTGAGAGAGCTCCCATGCCTCTTCCACCACATAAGAACACAGCAAAAGGGTACCCTCTATGAACCAGGAGACAGACCCTCACTGGATGCAGAATCTATGCCTAGACCTTGGACTTCCCAGCCTCCAGAGCTGTGAAAAATAAATTCCTGTATAGAAGCCACCCATTTGATGGCAGTTTTGTTTTAGCAGTCTTAACAGATGGAGACAATTGCAGAGTCCCACAGGATGGAAAGCATCCAGGTCACTGAATGGTCATATAGAAGGCCTCCTGATGTTCAGGAACACTTCTTTTGGATTTAACTTGAGCAATAAATGAACTACTATTGTGTGCATCCCAGAGATTTGGGGACGTACCTGTTATAGCAGCTAGCACCACTCTAACTCATAGAGTTATAAATGAAAGTGAGGTGCTTATGTTTTATTAACAGGCAGTGAGAAGTCGGGGGTCTGTATCTTCCAGGGGGTCTGTATCTTCCAGGGGGTCTGTATCTTCCACCTAGCACCACTCTAACTCATAAAGTTACAAATGAAAGTGAGGTGCTTATGTTTTATTAACAGGCAGTGAGGAGCCAGGGGGTCTGTATCTTCCATCTATCAAGGAGCACATCTGAGATGGAACTGTTGCCAACCCATGTCCCATGGATGAAATAAAAGGAAAGTCCATAGGTTCCTTATTGTGGAGCCTCAGACAACAAATTCTCTGTCACCCTTTAGAGTGGATAAACATCCTTGAATGGTGGGTCATGCTCATTATTTCAAAAATTTCTTATTTCACTGTAGTGTTGAGCATCTATTATTTTCAAGTCCCCCTACTCCAGCATGTTGAAAAATCAATGATACATGAGATAGAGCTCTTGCTTTTTGAAACATTTCAGCCTAACAAGGAAGAAAAGTCAGGATCAAACTAAAGTGCATTACAAAGCAGGGTGTAAACTTGCCGCCAAAGAGGAGCAGACTCTATGTGCAGGGGGAAGGTGAGCTTGCATGGTGGTACCACACATGCTACCATGCCAGCTGCCACCAGCAGCTGTGACCACCATGGCTGTGACTATGAACACGTGTCCAGCTCACATGCCATGCCAGATGTCATTCTAAGTGCTCTCATTTTTTTTTTTTTTCATTTAACCCTGACACTGACCCTACAGATTGGGAACTATTATCTCCATTTTGAAGATGTATATAATGCCATTGGTTGTATTCTGTATTTAGGGGCTTTAGCCTGTCTATGCTTTTAGACTTATTTGGAGCCAATTCTTAAAAGCATAATATTCATGTCATGGCTTAGGCTTTGTTTTCTTAATCATGTTCATCATGAGTCCTGCAGACCTTTAGTTAATCTGGTAGACCAGGGTATGTAAAGAGAAGCACATTCATCTGCCAAAGGCAGAATTTCCAGCAAAGCGTTACAGCATGTAAGTGTTTAGTGCATGTGTCCCTTGAAAACTTGGGCAGCGGCAGTACTGTCTTGATAACTGTTCTTCATTATTATGACTCTTTATTGATAAAATGATTTAGCATAGAACAAAAGGGACATTTTGTTTGAAAAATGAAGTGCTTGAAGAACTGACCTGCAGATGAACAGAAAATTGATGAAGATGGTTTTCGAAACACATTGTTCTGATCCGAATGCTGAATTCCACCCCTACCCTCTTGCTGCCTCCATTAATTCCCTCTGCATGTCTGCAACCACAGCCGTTTACTGACCTTGCTCCACAGCCCCACTATGACTGTGTCTCTGCCCTCTCATTAATTTCTTCCAACCACCCCCATTAACCTTCATTTTCTTTTTAGCCTCTGCCTCTAAGTCAGCCTAATTTTTTTAGCATACACATTCCCCTTCCCTCTTGGCCCATTGCCTGGCTTTTGTTTCTTACTTGTGAAAACATTACATGATTCTACTAAGCTGATAAGAATCTATCAGCATTCTATACCCCAAATTTTCCATTTCCATGTCCTGTTTCCCTGCCAAAATAGCTTTCAACTTTTTCAGCTGCTCCTTTGGGCACTTACTTCCATATTTCTAAAACTTGCTTATGTAGCTCTTTCTTAATTTTTCAGTTTCAGATATTGTATGATGACTTCCTACATGAAACATGAGGATTTGCCTCTCCTCCTGATCTTTCCTTTCCCTTATTTTCTCAATACAATTGATGTTTTGATGTTTTCTTTATTATGTCTTTGTTAATGTAATCCACAGCTGAGTCATTTAACATACTGTCATCGCATTTTCTTTCCTGGAGTTAATAATTTTCTAATTTTACCTTTGCTTAGTTTTTATGTAGTTACCACTATTTTAATGCTGGACTTTCCACCAAAAATATATTTTTCCTTAATATATTCAAAGGTCTCAAGAGTAACCTGTAGTTTCCTTTTTTCAAATTTTTTTTCAGAGACTCTTCCTCCATCTTCATGCTCCAGTAGGGCTCTGGCACAGATTCCATCCTGGAGTGTCTATTCATTATCCTTCAGGGAGCTGTTCAGTATTTCTCCTGTCCTAGGTCATCATATGTTCATTCCTCTTTCATGGTTGTCTTTCTCATGTGGATGGAATATATCTTTAGGATCCTGTTAAGAAAGGTGAAGAAAGGGGACCTAGAAGGTATTGAATTTCTGCATTTTTAAGATGTATTTTTCTTAACACTTTAATTGAATGATAGTTTGGCTAGGTATACAATTTTAGGGGGTGAACAATTATTTTTTTGGTTTTTAATACTCTTTTATTAGCTTTACTGATACATAATTTACAAGCAATAATGATCACTCATTAAAAAGTATACAGTTTTATGATTTTGGTGACTGTATACAGCTGTGTAACGGCTACTACTATCAAGATACAGAACAGTCCTATCACCCTAAAACAATTCCTCATGCCCCTCTATATTTGAACCTCAGGCAGCCAGTGCTCTGCTTTGTGTCACTATAGATTTGCCTTTTCCAGAACTTCATATAAAAGGAATCATACATTACGTAGACTGTTGTGTTTAACTTCTTATTTAGTATGTTTTGTGATTCATCCATGTTGTTGTGTATGCCAGTATTTCATTTCAATTTATGGCAGAGTAGTATTCCCTAGTATGGATATCCTGTACCATCCCTTCAACAACTGATAGACAATTTATTTGCATCCATTTTGGGATTTTATTATTCATTCTGAAACAAACATTAGCATACAAGTCTTTGTGTGCATATATGTGTTTATTTCATTTCTTTTTCAATGAGTGGTATTGCTAGGTCATATGGTAAGTTTGTACTTAAGTTTATAAGAAATGGCCAAACTGTTTTCCAAAGTGGCTGTGCCATTTTGCATTTTTGCCAGCAACGCATGAGATTTTTAGTAGTTGCCCATCCTTTTCAACACGTGGCACTGTTTCTTAAGACTCTGAATTGTTCTTTATTGTATAGCTTCCATTATTGCTGAAGAGGAATCCAACACCATTCTCATTTCCAATCTTTTGTGCCCTAGTTTTTACTCTAAAATACTTAAAATTCTTCTCTTTAGCCCCAGTTTTCTGAAAATTTACATGGATTGCATTGAGGTAAGTGTCTTTCATCCATTTGTACTGGATGTTTAAAGGTAACTTTCCAACTGGAGTCTTGCATCCTTCAGTTCCTGGAAATATTCCTAAATTATTTATTTGGTAATTTATTCTCCATTTTTATCTGAAGTAACTTTCTAAAATATCTGTTATATGGATGTTGGCTTCCTGGAATGATCCTTTTATTTTGTTTATTTTTCTCTCCCATTTTCATCTCTCTGTCACTTTGTCTTACTAGCTGGAAGATTTCTTTTTTCAATTTTGCCTTTCAATGCATCTGTTTTTCATTTTGACCTGATATTTTTAGTTTCCTATGTCTATTTTTAGTTGCTTGAATCTATTTTTTTTGTAATCACACTTTTTTCTGATTTTATTTAAAAAGTATCTACTCATAGCTATTAGGATGTTAATTACAGTTTTTTCCCCAAAAGATATATTATGCTCCCTGCAACATCTCTTTTTTTCTATTTTTTATTTTTTAGAGTTTGTCTTTCCTTTCATGTTAAATAAGTGATTCTCAACTGGGTTGGGAGTAGGCAGATATTTCATCTTCAATAGATATTTGTCAATAGCTGGAAATAGTTTGAGTTGTCACAACTGGCGTGGGTGCTGCTAGCATCTAGCGGGTGGAGGCCAGGGATGTTGCTAAGCATTTTACAATGCACAGAATAGCCCCCTGTGATGGTTAATACTGAGTGTCAACCTGATTGGATTGACGGATGCAAAGTATTGTTCCTGGGTGTGTCTGTAGGGGTATTGCCAAAGGAGATTCACATTTGAGTCAGTGGACAGGAAAAAGCAGACCCACCCTCAATCTGGGTGGGTACAATCTAATTAGCTGCCAGTACAGCTGGAATAAAGCAGGCAGACGAACATGGAAGAACTAGACTGGCTGAGTCTTCTGGCCTTCATCTTTCTCCTGTGCTGGATGCTTCCTGCCCTAGAACATTGGACTCCAAGTTCTTCAGCTTTGGGACTCTTGGACCTACACCAGTGGTTTGCCAGGAGCTCTCAGGCCTTTGGACGCAGACTGAAGGCTGCACTGTCCCCTTCTTAGTTTTGAGGTTTTGGGACTTGGAGTGGCCTTCTTGCTTCTCAGCTTGCAGATGGCCTATTGCAGGACTTCACTTTGTGATCGTGTAAGTCAATGCTCCTTAATAAACTCCCTTTCATATATACATCTATCCTATTAGTCCTGTCCCTCTAGAGAACCCTGACTAATACACCTTGCCATAGCAAAGGATTTTCCAGCTGCAAATCATAATAGTGCTGAGGCTGAGAAACCCTGTGCTTGTAGATGCTTTTGTGAAATGTCTGCTGATAGTTCATATTTAAAGGCAGTGCATTCCAAAGTATCTGTGGGCAAGGCTTGCTGACCCATGGCTTCAAGGTAGGGAGGTTTGGCTGGGTCTTTCCATTATTATGTTTGGATCATTGTTAGGGCTCAGGAGAAATCCTCAAAGTCCTAGCATGAGTGTGTAGCGGGAAGAGTATAAGTCTGGCAACGCATGTGCTCTGAACTGAAGGGGCTCAGGGGTCTTACCCTTTAGTGTGTCCATTTTTATTGAATTCTCTTAACCTCAGTGATGCCTCTATTTCAGTCTCTCTAGAGAATGAACTTCAGCCTCATGCCGGGTGGAGGTGGACAGCTTGGGAGGTAACTGCCCTTACACAGACTTTCAATCAATGCTCCTGTTTTTGGGAACACCTGCTCCCCAGTGTCCCCCTGAGCTCTAACCTCTGTCCATCCTCCCTGCAGGTCATTCCTTCTTTCAGAGTTGACTCTGCTGGTTTTCCCCAGTAGCTGCCACATACCCTTTAAATTCTCTTTAAACGCTTATCCACTGTCAGCTGCTCCCTGAAGTCTTAGCAGATGATCTCACCTCCCATGTTACTGAGCAGACTGAAGCCATTCCAATATAAATCCTAATTTCATTCCTCTTATGGACGGCGTGGCTTAGCCTCATCTCTCTTCTCACTCCTGTTTATGAAGAAATGTCTGTTCCCTTATAAAGTTGCCCCGTTGCCCTGTGTGCCGGATCACTCTCCTCCTAGCTGTCCAAAAAAGCTGCTCCACAGTTCTCCTTTACGTGAGCATTCCGTTTCTTCCACATCATGGTCCCCGTTCTTCCTGTAAAAATATGGTCAAGTCTACTCTGGCTTTAAAAACAAAGTCATTCCATTACTCTGGTATTTACTAAGACTCCTGTCCTTCTCCTCACAGCCAATTTTCTTTAAAAAAGTTGTCTGCATTTCTGGAAAAAAATTACCCACCTGGCATATGAGAGCTGGCCCTCCCTTCCTTCCCTCCAAATATCACTGGTGATAATCCTGGCTGACCCTCTGGGGGACAATCCCAGAGTTCCCTATCCTCTTGTCACTGTGTTTCCTCTCTGCTGGTTTCTTCTCTCCCCGTTATTGGGTGTTCCTTTCCTCCTGCTCACTAATACATGGAAGAGTCGCTCTGGGCACCGCACTCCCCTTATTCCTTCTCTGCGGGATAATCGTAGGCAGACCCATGGTTTCTACTCAGTTGGCTCCCAGATCTGCATCACCAGCTTCCCGGTTTAACAAGCTCAGGTTCCCTATGAGGCATACCTGAGGGTAAGAGCCCTGTGATTTTAGATTATGTGGGTATATTAGTCATATGTGTATTTTTTGCATTTTATGATGCTTTGCTGATGCTTTGCTATTCTGGGGCCTGGAGAGACGATCCCTTCCAGCGCTAGCGAATTCCCGACATAGCAAACATTTTCCCTGCAAACACGCCTTTCATGTGCAAAACAATAAAAGAAAGCCCAAATCACCAACCACCTCTTTTATCAAACGCTCATATACCAAGCCAATGTTTTCTCTGCCCTAAATTGCCCCAAAGGTCAGGTACTGGACAACTAGAGACCATCTCTCTAGCCCAGAGCCTGCTGAAATTATTCAAACTATCCAATCCTAAACTTGCTCAAACTTATCTACTCTGCTTCACCATGGAAACCATCATGAGGGCTCCGGGCCAGGATTTCCCCAGCCTCCCGACTGGTCCTGCATGGCATGGTGTACTCCCTTCTCTTGGGAACTGCGAGGGAATCCTGGCCACAGCTGCAGCAGTGCGGAAAAAAAGACAGAAGTCAAAATATTGCTGCAATGGCTACGTGCATAATGGCAGAGTGCGGCATCCCCTGTCAACCTGCTGTGGTTTCCTGGTGGGCTCACTTTGCCAGGTGTGGAAAATAGCCTCTCACCTCAGAGAAAATATTCGGCATTTCTACCCTTCCTCCACATCACACCTTCATTTTGTTCTATCTTAATTTGGGAACTTTTGTTTTGTTTTGTTTTGCTCCTAAGCTATTCACATACTTCTGCTTGCCAAATTACTCTGAAATTACATTTTGTTGTCCATCTGTAGATGTAGACCAAGGAAATATGGTCTTTCACTCTTTTTAAGTTCAAAATAAAAGCCTAGTGCGTATTCTGTGATTTAGTGCACAAAGGAGCAAGCAACCTCTTTGGAGCCCCTCACTTGCTCACGTGCTCATTAAGCTGCTCTTGGATGGAGCCTCGTGGCTTAGGTGCTGAGTCCTGCCACACATAATAGTCACCTGGGAAGCTCTGTAAAAGCACCATTGTGTGGGCTCCTCCCCAGACCAATTATAGGGCTTGGGCATCAGGATTTTCACAAAGCTTTTCAAAGGATTCAAATGTGCTGCCAGCACAGAGAACTAACGTTCCAGTTGGGTTTTGTTCTCTGCTTTTTTGTGCTTTTTTGGCCAAGACTTAAGTTTTTCTCCAAAGGTTCTCAGACTTCAGTGTATATTGGAATCACCTGGAGAACTTGCTAAGACGGATTTTGGACGCTCATCCTCAGCGTTTTTGATTCAGTAGGTCTGGGGTGGGGCCTAAGAATGTGCATTTCTAACAAATACCCAGTTGATGCTGGTACTGCTGGTCCAGGCCACTTCTTTGAGAACCACTGCCTAACTCTGCCTAAGGGTGTTCCTCTTCTGGGATCTGTTTCTCAGAGTTAGGGTAATCAATTAGTCTCCATTTTGGCATTAAACTTCTTATGTTCTGGGAAACCCCTCAGTCCCTGGAAAACCGGGATAGTTTGTCCCCAAAAAGATATGTCTGCATCCTAATCTCCAGAATCTGTCGATGCGACCTTACTTGGGAAAAGGCAGAGACCCCAGACCCTGTCTCTGCATATGTAATGAAGTTAGGAATCTTGAGATGAGATTATCCTGGGTTATCTGGGTAGGCCCTAAATCCAATGGCAAGCGTCCTTATAAGAACAACACAGAGGAAGATTACACAGACAGAAGAGAAGGTGACCATGTGACCACAGAGGCATAGAGTGCAGAGAGACAGTCCCAAGCCAAGGAATGTCCCCAGACTGAATCGAGGGTAGGGGTGCTTATTCTCACAGCCCAGTAATGAGATGTAGATGAACTGGGAAAGATGAAAGTTTATTTCTGTAACCAGGGACAGGGAGAAGGCCAGGAAAATATCACCGGGCCAACTCAAAATTACAAAGTTTTCCGGAGCTTATATACCTTCTAAGCTAATGTGTACATGTAAGTGTGCATTCATCCAAAGATATAAGTGATTAACTTCTAATCTATAACTAAGGTCTGAGTCCTGAAGACCTTCCTCTGGAGCCTCAGTAAATTTACTTAATGTAGATGGGTCCAGGTGCCAGAGATGATTACCCTTATCTTGTCACCTGCTAAATCAGGGAGGTTTGGGGAGTTCCCAATAAAACTTGTTTGTGAAGATCTGGAGAGATTCTTCAGACCCACGATAAAACTTGTTTAATCCTAAACAGGTCCTGTTAAGAATTCCTTTGTTATCTTGTCATGCTTCAAGGCCCAGGAAAGGCCTGGGCAAAACTCTTGGTGGGCTTTTGTTACATTCCAGCTTTTGTATAAGGACGCTGGGGCTTTCAGCCTTTTTTTTTTTTTTTTTTTTTTTTCTTGAGACAGAGTCTCGCTCTGTTGCTGAGGCTGGAGTGCGGTGGCGCAATCTTGGCTCACTGCAACCTCCGCCTCCCAGGTTCAAGCAATTCTCCTGTCCCAACCTCCCAAGTAGCTGGGACTACAGGTGCCTGCCACCACGCCCAGCTAATTTTTGTATTTTTAGTAGAGATGGGGTTTCACCATATTGGTCAGGCTGGTCTCAGACTGCTGGCCTTGTGATCTGCCCGCCTTTGTCTCCCAAAGTGCTGGGATTACAGGCGTAAGCCACCATGCCCAACCTCTTTCAGCTTTTAGTATTTAACTTAACCACTCAGTCAGTGCCGAAACCGCTGTCGTGGAGGCTGCCTGCTCAGCTGGTAGTGAGACCTGGCCTGCCACAGGAATGCAGATGGCCACCAGAGGCTGGAAGAGACAAGGTATCCATTCTCCCCTAGATCCTTTGGAGAGAGCATAGTCTTGCTGATATCTTAATTTTGGATTTCTTCTGCAGAACTGTGAGAGAATGCTTGTCTGTTATTTTAAGCCACCGGGTTTGTGGTAATCTGTGACAGCAGCTCTAGGTAACTAATACCATCCCTTTAACTCACCACTACTATTCTAGAGGGATATTGGGGGCAGTTTCCACCTCTCCTGCCTATCAAAAGTGAGATGTTCTGAAATCACGTAACCTTCACAAAGACCAGCTGATTGACTAATGAGTCTATAAAAACACTTCCCAGAAAGAACAGTCTAGAAACCAATGAAGCACAGCTAATCTGACCTATTACAAGTACGGAAGACTATCTACGGTAGGTCGTTAAGCAGCCAATGATGTAAATAAAACCTCTGCTAATGTTAAATGTGCCACTTTGTTTTGCAGGATGCAGCAGGCCGACAGTCATAGGCGGCCTGTTGGAAGCGCTCTGCAGCAGCTGTGCTCAGGGTGCAGCGAGACCTGGTGGAGAGAGCTGGTGGCTTCGTTGAGGAGGGATGGCAATGTTAGAGCCCAGTGTGGATGGCCTTTCCGTGTTCTGTGAAGGCGCTGGCAACTCCACAGAGCTGGAAAGGCTGGGCCATGAACAGGGCTCACCCTGTCAACTCCAAGTCACCTCCAGGACCTGTGGCTAAAATGATTGGAAGAGGAAGGGCCAGAAACTCATGGAAAGCTCTAGAAGTGTCAGATTGGCCTCGTACAGCCCTTGGGCTAGCTCCACTCTGGAAAACCAGGTATGAATGTATTTGGGGCCCCGGACTGGGGTGCTCTCTTTTCCCCATTTCTTCTGGCTGTTTAGCTGCTGCCTCTGAGGGGTTTCTGGCTCCTATACCTTTGCTGAAGTTTGAGTCATGATTTTCTCTTGATGCTCGTCTTTTGGACTGTTTGCTGACGTCCCACTGTGTGAACAGTCTTCTTCAGGTTGCCCGTACTTAGTGTCCAGCGTATGCTGTGATGTATTGTACTTAAAGAAAGCTCCTCCGTTGTCTGATAAGAATATATTTCTGCATACAGAGATTACAAATTATTTTATTATTTTATTTTATTTTATTTTATTTTATTCTATTTTATTTTTTGAGACGGGTCTAGCTCTGTTGCCCAGACTGGAGTGCAATGACGAGATCTTAGCTTACTGCAAACCTGCAACTTCTGCCTCCTGGGCTCAAGCAATCCTCCCACCTCAGCCTCTGGAGTAGCTAGCACCGCAGGTGTGTGCTACCACACCAGTCTATTTTTTTTTTGTTTTTTTTAGAAACAGAGTCTTGTTTTATAAACAGGTGGGCCTCAAACTCCTGAGCTCAACAGATCTGCCCGCCTTGGCCTCCCAAAGTGCTCATGGATTACAGCCATGAGCCACCATGCCTGGCCTAAAAATTTTTTTAACAGTTTACTCTGCATGTAATAAAGCAGTCTTGAACTGGGAGACTTCTAACCAAAAGTGCTAAGTAGCTCAGGTCATAGCATTTACAGTGTAGCTCATGAAGCACAAATGAAGAAGAACACTGACTTTATTGTTACAGGCTATTATAAACTCTCATTCCTTTTAGGCCAAGTAGAACTGTATAAGCTGTTTTGTCTGTAGCTGATTAGCTCAGAATCATGCTGACAAAATAAAATCTTAAGTTTTGTTTACAGTTAAAGCTAGCATTGCAAGGAAATCAGGATGGTTTGTTAGCTATGTGGCTGTGGGCAGTTGGCCCAGAGGTATAGCCGAACTGTAACCTCTGTTTTCTCTTTTTAAATATTCTCATTATATGAATTTAAGGTTTACAACATGTTGCTTTGATGTATGTGTACATGGTGCAGTCATTACCACAGTCATGTAAATCAACATATCCATCACCTTGCATAGTTCTTTTTTTTTTTTGTAGTAAGAGTACCAAAAATGGACACTTTTTAGCAGTCCTCATATTGTATATTAGATTTCTAGGGTAATCCATCCCAGCTAACTGCATCTTGATATGCTTCCATGTCTCCACATTCCTACCAAGCCCCCACCCCTGGTAATCAACTTTCTATTCTGTTTGTATGTATTTAATTATTATTTTTGTATTCCACGTATAAGTGAAATCAGGCAGTATTTTTTTTTTCCCTGTCTGGCTTATTTTACTTAGCATAATGTCCTCTAGGTTCATCCATGTTACTGCAAATGGCAGGCTCTCTTACAAATTATTTAAGGGCAAGAATCAGGCTATCTGCTTTTTCTCACTTTCAACACACCCAGGCCTCTCACATCACCATACAATGGAATCTTAACTAGCACAGGTTTATTCCATTTCCCACCATTCAAAAACTATTATCGAGTCTAAATATTATTGAAAACTTTCTGGTTCAGCTTTCAATTGAAGGGGGCCCCCAAATGGATCTCAGCAGCTGGCTACTAAATGTTCCAAAACATGAGGCAAGAGGATCCACACACTGTACCTGGGAGAGGGTGCTGTGGTCACAGGAAAAGCTCAGTACCCGGCACCTCTGCAGACACTCAGTGACTTTGCTGAATGAATGCAGCCCGAGGGAATCAGCGGCACCTGGTAGTAGAAATACATAGATGCATTTTGCATGACAGAGAGAATCCATTTGGAAACTCAACTTTTGCAGTAATGGTTGTTATGGGACTCAGTTTCAGAGACCATAAAAGAGAAATTCTAAGTTATGTTTAATGTCATGTCCAGCCCAGGACATGACCTGACCAAAGGCTTCAAATGTGTTTGAAATCTGGTGTTTCAGTCTAAAAATTCACATAAACGTTGCATTCAATTCTCTAGTACTTGCACTTTACTCACCAGGGAAAGAAATCACTTTTTCAGGAAGATGCGCCATGTTTGCTTTGTGACTTTCTCACTCCTTCACTGCTAGGTACTCTAGAATTCAAGGTTCGCATGCACAGCTCTTCAATGTGACTGGCTCATAGAACAACTGTAAGTAATTGTGTTAAAATAGTAATTTTAAAGAGGGAGTGTGTTTAACATAGTTTATAAAATGTAAAAGATGTAAGATCCAGTACATAGTTCTAGCCACCTCTACAGCTAGCTATGAAGGATGATCTTAGAGAATAAAGTGCTTATTGCTAAAAATAGAAGCAACCTGTCAAGATGCAATGGGCTTTTGTAACAGGCTCTGCAACCTCTTCTCAAAAAAGTAGAATTGTTAGTAGGCTAAAATGCTGTGGGATTTTAATACACAGGTTTACCACTGAAGTTTTTAATTTGGGATGGCTAACATAAAAATGATCTTCTATCAACACTTTAGAGGATGGTTTCTTTGGGATTTATTTATAATTTTACTGAAAAATTACTGTGTAGGGAAGAGAGAGTGACTGTTTCTGAATATCATTGAAATTACGCTATGCAAAGGCCTTAAACTGGAGAAAGAAGAGGAGCTTAAAGAGAAAATAGAAAACCTCCCATCGATGGGATGATTATTTCAAAAACTAAAAATTTTGTGTCAGTCACTTTGGTGCAAAATTACAAAGACTCTCTGTTGGTTCCTTACACATTTCAATTGGATTTGTTTTTGGCATTTTATTACTCAGTCCCAAATCCAAAGGGAATTTCATAAAATTAATTTGTTCACTTCCCCACCACCCCACCAACAAAAGCCCCCAAACGCAATGTTGTATCCAAGGATAGTCAGGCTTCCTGCTGATAAAAGCTGATCTTGTTCTTCTAGCTAATGTTCTAGGGAACTATTTCTAGAAGCTTAGGAATGTCTTTAAAACTTAGAAGCTCAAGTCAATGTCATGTAAATGAAACTAAGCTTATGAAAAATTAGTTTCTTTCTACTTTTGGCACCCTCAGTAAACACTGCAGCACAGATTTTTTTTTTCCACAATGTCTGACCTTGGGAAGTTATGGCACATGACAGAATAAAACAAAGTAGAAAGAGTATTTTAAAAATATTATGTGAGCCTGCTAACTCTTGGTTTTAAATGTAGACGTTGGCTTCTAAGCAACTAATTTTTAAAAACTTAAAGATAAGAAACTAAGTTTTATGAAAAGAAGTGGTACTTCTGAGGTTTTAAGAGTTAAACTTATCTGAGGAGGAAGAAATTTCTATGAATGTGTGGCGAAACTTTGAGGGGTATTTGATATACCTTCTGCGAACTGACTCTCAAAGTGACATACAACTGTACATCTGCTGAAAACTCCTGCCCATAAGGTATATATCACTATTAAGCAAATATACAACTTTTTTTTTTTGAGATGGAGTTTCGCTCTTGTTGCCCAGGCTGGAGTACAATGGTGTGATCTCGGCTCACCACAAACTCTGCCTCCTGGATTCAAGCAATTCTCCTGCCTCAGCCTCCCAAGTAGCTGGGATTACAGGCAAGCACCACCATGCCCAGCTAATTTTTGTATTTTTAGTAGAGATGGAGTTTCTTCATGTTGGTCAGGCTGGTCTCGAACTCCCAACCTCAGGTGATCCACCTGTCTTGGCCTCCCAAAGTGCTAGGATTACAGAGGCAAATATACAACATTTTTAACAGGTAAGGCAGGAGAGAAGGGGAGGCTGTGGATTGAGTCATATTTTTCTCAAAGTTGTGTCCAAAATATGCTTCTATCAGTGTCGGTGTTAATAAGCCAAGCAGTCACGTGAAATGGGATGTTCTTTCTTGCTTCTTTTTTTGAAACTTGCTGACCTGATGTGTTTTCCACCTCAAATTTCAAGAGTCAGGTGGATTTTTCTTTCTTTTTCTTTTTTTGAAGTTCAAATTCTGCCAGTTTGTATATTTTTGGCTGGGGCTCAAAAATAAAATAGGCAGGCATTTATTAAATACAGTGACTTTTCAAAAACTGTTATTTCTATATTTTTATTTTTAACAATGTGAATAGAAATTTTAAAAGAATGCTTCATGTTAGCAAGAACGCTTACAGAATGAAACTTTTCTCAAAAATTTGAATTTAACAACCCCAGAAAACACTGCATTTTAGCTTAAGTCAGGAATCCAAGGAGAGGAGAGGAAATAGAGGGATGAGAGAATGGGTCTGACTTGAATTCTACCTCAGATGTAGGGAAACACAGTAACAGTTTTTCAACCCTTTCGGCATCAATAATCATCACTTGCATTTCAGTTCGGTTCAGAAATTGTCATTCATGGCCTTTTTCTGGGTCTTATAAGCACTCAGTGCTACTCTGCTTACAAGGAGGGCAAATTCCTCACTTTGGTTATGACCTTTGGTCTCTTCCACTTCCTCACTCTCACTGCTTTTATTTTCATTTATTAAATTCACCTCTGTGTGTGTCCACGTTGCATGTGCAGTATTTTTTTTTTCTAGTCTTGACTTTGAGCTTCTAGATACTGCTAGAGAAAGATACTCAATAATGGTTGTTTTGTTTGTTTGTTTTTGAGACCGGGTCTCGTTCTGTCCTCTAGGCTGGAGTGCAGTGGTGCCATTTCAGCTCACTGCAGCCTCCATCTCCTGGGTTCAGGTGATTCTCCCACCTCGGCCTCCTGAGTAGCTGGGATTACAGATGTGCACCACCATGCCCGGCTAATTTTTGTAGTTTTAGTAGAGACAGTTTTCACCATGTTGGCCAGGCTGGTCTTGAACTCCTGACCTCAAGTGATCTGCCCACCTTGGACTCCCAAAGTGCTGGGATTACAGGCGTGAGCCACCATGCCTGGCCAACGATACTCAATAATGTTTATTACTCCCACTAGAAAATTATTTCAGATAGCCTCAGTTGAGTCCTCCTTCGTATGTGACATTTCTCATCAGTTATCCTAGTTAATTCCCTAGTGGGTTGCTCACAGTGGCTAATCTGTCCCTTTCCTAGTCTCTCCAATTTTCAAACTTACTTTCTTAAACCTCCTTATCCTCTGAAAATCAACTTGTGTTCTACTTCACTGAGAAGACATGACTATTTAAATTTTCCCTCTCTCTCAGCCTGTTTCACCCCACCAGTATCAGAATTCTCTACATCGCCTGTTCTCTTCTCTTTTAGTAATATTTCATAAGATGAAATATCTCTCTTCCTTTTTCATCACTGGAAAATTCTCAGCCATTATCTCTTTGAATATTACTTCTGTCCAATTTTCCCTCTTTCTTCTCCTTTTTGGGACACCAAATATATGTATGTTGGACCTTCTGTGAGTATCCCGTATGTTATTTACGCTCTTAACCATTTTTCCCACTATTTTTTTCCTCTCTGAAATTCGGGTGCTATTAGTTTTTCCTCCAGTTCACTAATACTGTATTCTGCTGTGTCCGATCCACTGTTAAACCTATCCACTATTACCTAATATTTAGATATTATTACTTTTTCAATTCTAGAGGTCTACTTGGTTATTTATAAAGTAGTTATTTGGCAAAATTCTCCTTCTTTTTATCCACTTTATGATTCTTTTTCTTCATTTAAATAAACATATTAATCAAATTAAAGACCTTGTTTGCTCTCTTTAGCTTATCTGTGATTTCACTTTGATTGAAATTTTTTTTTCTTCTGATTATTGGTCATATGGTCTTCCCTCTTTGGATGTCCAATTCTCCTTTTCTTCGTAGTAAGTAGAGACTGCAGTTGTTGTTCTCTTCCACCAAAGAGATTGTTGCTTCCTTTGTTAGGCAGAGAGGGTAAGGACTAATTGGCTTAATACAGAGGTTGAGCTGAGCTGGGTGTTGAGCTTCAGTTTTAGTGAGACTCAGTCTACATCTAGTTCACGGCTCTTCTAGCCTTTTGATCTGAGCCCATCCGGGTTTCTATCTCAGTCCTGAAAGACTGTGAAAGATTTCATTCTGCCTTTCAGAGGTTTTTAGCTTAGCTCTTGAACTTCACACCTGTATTGGTGTCTATTTCTGCATAACAAATTACCTGAAGTTTAGAAGCTCAAAACAGCAAATACTTATTTTGTCATGGTTTCTGTGTGTCAAGAATTTGTGAACAGCTTAGATGGGTGAATTTGGCTGCAGGTCTCTCATGAGGTTTCACTCAAGCTGTTGGCTGCAGATGCCACAGAATGAAGACTGGACTGGGACTGGAAGACCTGCTTCCAAGCTTGGTCCTGTGGCTGTGGGCTGGGGCCTTTTGTCTTTTTTTGCTGCTGGCCAAAGGCCTCATTTCTTCACCATGAGCTTCTCTGAGAGTTCTTATGTGTCTTGATGACATGGTGATTCATTATGAGTGATTCAAGCATGAGTGATTCGAGAGAGAGAGTGCAAATCATAATGTTTTTATTACTTAGGCTCAGTGGTTACTGTCCATATTTTCTGCCATCAGAAATTCCTATTGATCAGAAGTGAGTCACTAAGTAGAGTCCACCCTCAAGGTGAGGGGAATTAGCTCCACTGAAGGGAAGAGTATAAGCAAATTTGTGAACATACTTTAAAACCATCAAACCTCTTTATATGTCTTTCAAAATCTGACAAACATCTTGAGAGAAGACCTGCCTTGTATTTGAGGTAAACCCCTGGTAGGTTTTATTTTTTAAGTACTGAGAGAATGCAGGAGAACTCACTTTATTGTTTAGAGACTGTGGCCTGGCTCCTCCATCTCCCACATAGTTCCAGAGCTCAGCAGATTTCCTGAGACCTCTCTCATTTCCAGTTGGTCACACCAGCCTCATTTGCTGCTGGAAGCTTTGCCGGTTCTCCGGTCTCTCAACAAGGGCCCTCTGCCTGTTCTGATCCTTGCCCTCACCCAGACATAGAACATCTCCCAGGGAAAAATGGAGGCTCAGAATGGTTGCCCTACATCTGATATTTTAGTTCATCCATTTCCTATTGTCCCATAGTCCTGCTTTAAAACTACGATTTTATAATTTATTCACCTTTTTGTAATTGTTGTAATAGGGGCATTGCCCTACCATGACTTCTACATCTTACCCTGAAGCAGAAGTCTCTCTGTCTTCCCTTTTAAGGAAAATGTCTCTATTCTTTGTCTTGTGTCTGAGTCCTCAAAGATCCTGCCCCACAAACCATATTTATTTCCCTTGAATCTTCCTTTCTTCCTGTTCTTTTCCTTTGGCTTAAAAACATCTTTATGTCTTTTCTCTCTTAAACACTTTTCTTTCTTTCTTTTCTTTTCTTTCTTTCTTTCTTTTTTCTTTCTTTTTTTTTTTTTTTTTGAGACAGGGTCTCTTGCTCTATTGCTTAGGCTGGAGTGTAGTAGTGTGATCTCGGCTCACTGTAGCCTCAATCTCCCAGGCTCAGGCAATCCTCCTGCCTCAGCCTCCCAAGTAGCTGGGACTACAGGCATGCACCACTGTGCCCAGCTAATTTTTGTATTTTTTTGTACAGATGGGGTTTTATCATGTTGCCCAGGCTGGTCTCGAACTCCTGGATGAGAGCAATCCTCCCACCTCGGCCTCCCAAACTGCTGGGATTACAGGCATAAACTACCGCACCCAGCCTCTAAACACGTTTTTAAAACTCTGACGCCCCTTAACACCACCTCCTTTCGCCCCCTCCCCTTTTACTCCAGTGTTAGGGCTGTCTTTTTCTCCCCATCTCCTACTTATTACACCCCTTGGCACTTTGCTTCTTAGAGTTCTGGGTAAGGTCCTCAAATGCCTTCTACATGACAAAATCGAGAGGCTTCTTCTCAGTGTTTCTCACACCCAAACATCCAGCTGCTTTTACTGTTAAAATTCTCCCCCTCTGGACTTTTTTTCAGCATTTCCCTTGATGTAACCTTTCTGGGTCTTTTCCACTTTCTCTTCTTTTTCCTCTTCTTACTGGACATTCTCTCCTAATTTCACTAAAACTCATGCCTTACACTTCCATTTCTATTTGAATGACTTCCAAATTTTCACCTGTAGTCTCTTACCTTTCTCTCAGGCAACAAACCAGATTTCAAGTGCTTATCAGATGCCTCCATATAATTGGCTCATTATTACCCTAAACACAATATGTTGACCTGAAATTTAAGTTGCATAACCTCCATTTGGCCTTCAAAACTCAAGTCATATTGCTCTTTCCCCTGGCATCCTCTGGGTCCTCAGGCTGCATGGAGTGGTTTGGAGTTGGGGCGGGGGGAAGTTTTTCTCTGGGATCCCTGTGTTCCTCCATCAGGACAGTCATCACTGCATTGCATTTTCGTTAGCTGTCTCTCCTGTTTCTTAGAGCAGTAATTCTTGACCAGGGGAGATTTTGCTCTCTGAAGGACATTTGACAATATATGGAGACATTTTCTGTTGTGACTATTTGGCATCTTCCACTTGCATCTAGTGAGTAGAGGCCAGATATGTTGCTGAACATTGAATGATACGCAGCAGAAGCCCCACAACAAGGAATGCCTCAGTCCCAAATGTCAGCAGTGCCAAGGTTGAGAAACCAATCTAGACTATGAGCCTCTCACAAAGTGGTAGCATGGTTTTCTGATCCGTGTACTTGGCACATCAGATGTACTCAGTAAGTGTCTATTAAATGGAAGACAAGAAACTCATTAAATACATTCTTCCCTTCTTTTCTACATGCTGTGCTATCTTCTCCTTTTTGCTTACTAAAATCTTATCCATTCTTTATGATTCAGCTCCAATGCCAGCACCTCCCTGAGGTCTGTCGTGTTTCCTCCAGAATTCCTCTCTCTATCCTCTGTGCTCCGCAGCAACTTGGGGGTAGCGTTTATCACCTCTTCTGGAGTAATATGTTTACCTGCCTCCCTGGTCACCTGAGTAACTCATAAGTCCCTTGTGAGCACTGTTGGCTAACTGCTCTTTTTCAAATGCTTCTCTAGGCTGGTATGTGCCTCAGGATTGGAAGTATTTATTTCATTGTTAATGCGTGGACTCCTGTTACCAAATGGCCCTCAGTCTTCTCTCAATTCAGAGTCCTTTCCATGTACCAGGCCCTCTCCCCTAAAATGGTGCAGAGCCCATTGGATCATTTGGACCTCCTGTTTGCTGTCATTTGTGGTGTAACACTAAATGCCTGAGACCTTCCTGTGGGCTGGTAATGCCCTATAGAACTTGTTAAAAAAAAATCCCAACAAAATGGTTTCCAAAAACATCCTGTACAACAACAGCATCACTGGAATTTATGTCTATCTTTCCAGTTGGTGGAAAATTTTTATTTCAAAGTGTAAGTGTCAGCATATTTATGAAAAAAAGCAAGCATATTGATAGTCACATGGCTTAAAGTGTACACCCAAACCATTACAAGCAAGTATGGCCATTTATTTAACAGATAATATGATCTGGGCACTAAGCATATAGTGGTAAACAAAAAAGTTCTTTCAAAGACAGGCACATTCTTCTCACTGCTGGCAAATTCCTGCTCTTTGATGGTGAATTTGAGTTTTTGAAATGTCCAGATGATTTCAAAATGATTGGACATTTTGAAATGTCCAAATGGGAACAAACAGGTCAGAGTTGAGAACCAAATTGAGAATTGTCTGAAATCATTCAGAGTTGAACAAAGGGGGTTAGTCCTAGGCCTTTTCTGCTAGTTAAATACAGGATTTAAATAAATAATTAAGCCTGTATTTCTTATGAAATTTTTTATAAAGCCTGGATTATTTATAAACGAGCTCCGAAAGCCATTTCAATATGCCCTTATGTGTTTCAGCATCACTGAAACATTACTTTCAGAGTCAAACTCATTTTGAGATATAAATTCTGTCATAGTCTCATTATCTCTCATTCATACCTTGTTTTGAAACAAGTATGTTTAAATACCTTGTGAAGAAGGCAATGGTTCCTACTCTATTAGCAAAGACTAGAGTATTCACAAGATTTGGGGGAAAACACATTCAATATCCTTCTTGCATGACTTCTTAAAGATTTCTATTGCTTTTAATGATGGTCTCTTTTCTGCCTCTGGCTAGGAACCTTCCAGGCATTTTAGAGTAGATTTTCTGTGCTTCCAACAAAAGCCCATCACTGGGGAGCTAAATTACATTTAGAAGCTGCATTTTTATTTTAATGATATATTGTTGATTGATTTTGCGCTCAATTTAATAGAGTAATCATCCTGTTCCCCAGTGGTTCTGACATGCTCAGTGCCCTAGGCCAGAAGCCAGAATCAAGATCCTTTAAGAATAGAGAAGAGAGAGATAATCAATTCCTCACTCCACACCCTGCACCCCCACCAGCTGCTTGAACTCATTTTCATTTGGATTCCTAAATTAATGAATTGTCTTTTCCAAAATAGCAATCCCAGTTTATATAAACTGATTTATACTCAATGCACAAAATAGGTGGTGCTTGCTTGTTTTGCTAAAGGAAAGGAATGAACTTCCATGGTTATGATTTTATTAGACACTGAGTTTCCCTTGCCTTTTTAAAATCTGCACTCACACACAAGCACACACATGCACACACACACACACACACGGCAAATTGCAATTAAGAACTCCAGAACATCTCATTCTGCAGTGCTGGGATTGGATTACAAGGGATATTACAATTCTACATAATCTCATTATTTACAGCACACATTGTATTTTATATTTTAATTTATTTAATATCCAAAATGATCACTAGAAGTAAAATAACCCACCAGAGGAAAGAATGATGGAGCCAGGATTGATCATGTTTTTAGACCGAGGTCTTCTATGCTCTTTATTACAAGAGTGTTTCTCAAACTCAAGTATTGTAGAAACTCCTTTGAAAGAGGAAAATCCTTTTTATGGATCCTCAAGGGAAATGCTAGAGTTAAATGCTGCCATTTTTGGCGGTCAGCTAGTCTCATAACATCAGAAATCCTGAGGTGAACATGAGCATCCAGCCATTCAGAATAATCTTGGGCTTTAGAGAGTTGACATCAAGGAAATAACACATGTTATATAATATAAATGTCATCATAGGAGTTGAAGGATCTCCGCGAATTTATAGACTCCAGATTTAAAAACACAATGACTTAAGACAAAGAGTATTTTATAACTTTTCTGAGTGAAGATGGATGTATTAGTCTGTTTTCAGGCTGCTGATAAAAACATACCTGAGACTGGGCAATTTACAAAATAAAGAAGTTTATTGGACTTACAGTTCCACATGGCTGGGGAGGCCTCACAATCATGGTGGAAGGCAAGGAGGAGCAAATCACATCTTACATGGATGGCAGCAGGCAAAAAGAGAGAGCTTGTGCAGAAAAACTCCCATTTTAAAAATCATCAGATCTTGTGAGACTCATTTCACTATCACAAGAACAGCCCAGGGAAGACTCACCCCCATAATTCAACCACCTCCCACCGGGTTCCTCCATGACACATGGGAATTATGGGAGTTATAATTCAAGATGAGATTTGGGTGGGGACACAGCCAAACCATTATCAAGGGATAATTTACCATCTTTGTGCTCACAATTCTGCAGAGAGGATGGATCTCAGTCTTCAAACACAAGGAACCAAAAATTCAACCTTGTTTTCATGTTTATATTCTAACCCTTACTGGATGGTGGGGTCAATTAATTAAACATAAGCACAACCAATTCAGAGTTTCCTCTGGCACTTCAGGGTCTCTTCTCCCTCTGGTGGTGTCTAAATTCAAGGGTGGTGGGTTCAGAAAGTGCCACAGCCTGGGTGGGATTGGGCATCATGTCCTTTGAGGTCACAGTCCATTCCTGCAAACTCTGAGACTCCCATGTTCCTATTTGATCAGGGATTATTGGTCCACTCGGAGCTCTCTATGTCTGCTTTGTCCTGAGCTTGAGCCCTCAGCAGATCTCCTTGTCCTCCACTTCAGCACCTGCTGAGCAGTTCTCAGTGAGGAAGGGACACTCTTCTATGCTTTGGGGAACTGTGGGGCTGTCCCAGCTGTCACTTCTGCTCTCCTGCATCAAAACACCAGGGTGGGTGGAAAGCTGAAGAATCGGTCCCCAGCTGGGAAGTAAGGCACAGGTCACTTCTTTTCTTGGACCCTCAAACTCCGCCAGGAGGGGAGGGGGAAACTTATTCCTCCCTCATATTAGTCAGGGGTCTTCAGAGAAACAGAGCCACTAGGATACATACATTGGTCTATATCAATGTCTATGTCTGTATCTGTCTCTTTCTATTTCTATCTTTATGTACATGTAGACATACACAGATAAATTTATTTTTAAGGAATTGGATCATGTGATTGTGGGTTCTGGGAAGGCTAAAATCTGCAGGGCAGGCTGGGAGGCCAGATATCCAGGTGAGTGCTGATGTCACAGTCTCAGGATTGAGTTCTACAGAGCAGTAGGCTGGAAGCTCAGGCCGGAATTTTGTGTTGTAGTCTTGAGGAGAATACCTTCCTATTTGGGAAACTTCAGTCTTTTAAGGCTGTTAACCGATTGGAGGAGGCCTCCCCAAAGCATGGAGGGCCATATGCTTTATTTGAAATCTACTGATTTAAATGTTGATCACAATTACAAAATACCTTCACAGCAACTTCTAGGCTGGTATTTGACCACAAAACTGGCACCAGCCAGTATCGACAAGACAGGGCCCAGCCAAGTCAACATGTAACATTAACCATCACAGGGTAGACGGAAAGCTGAGGAATCAGTCCCCAGCTGGGAAGTAAGGCACAGGTCACCTCTGTTCTTAGATCCTCAAACTCATCCAGGAGGGGAGCGGGGAAATCTATCATTCCTGCATGGCTTCCCTCCAGAGGACGAGAACCAGCCTGGGCATAGGGTTCCTTCTCAGCACACCCACTGACCCCTAACTGTCAGACTTCCTTTCTTGTACTCCTTCACCCAAAGGCCAGGGACATCTGAGAGTTCTGGCATGGGGCAGAAAAACCTGGCTCTCCCTTTATCCTATGTTCTTCCAAATCTATTGTTTAGGGTGTAAAATGTATTTTCCCCAGCCCCTCCAAATCATGGTTTCTGTGACTCAAATAGCTTTTCTTGTAAACTGTGGCTTCTCCAATGAGTTTCAAAGGTTATTTATAAGCTCAAAAGTTGAGCCTTGCTGCCCTGGTTCTGCATGTCATCTTTTCTCCAGGAGGGGACCCTGCAGTGCCTTAGCTGCCACCTGACACAGGGGGCGCACCACAGGCACAAAGAGTCACTGGGTATGAAACGCTGAGTCAATTCATTAATGGCTGTATGTCTACAATAGCAAACAATTACAGCTTTGCACTGATGAGATTGCCTGTGTGTTCTGTTCACTGGGACCAGAACTTCCTCCATCACTGTCTCTGCATCTTAGTCATCTTGCTTTCACTGGTGTCTTAATCCATTTGGGCTCCTATAACAAAATACCATACACTGGGTGGCTTACAAGCAACAGTAATTCATTTCTCATGGTGGTTCTGGAGGCTGGAAAGTCTCAATTTGGTGTCTGGTGAGGGCTCATTTCCTGGTTCATGGATGGTATCTTCTTTTTGTGTCCTCACATGGTGGAAGGGGTAAGGAGTCACTTTGGGCCTATTTTATAAGGGCACTAATCCCATTCATGAGGGCTCCACCCCCATGACCTAATCACCTCCAGTGGCCCCACCTCCAATACCATCATCTTGGAAGTTAGGATTCTGATATCTGAATGCAGTGGGGAGGGGACAAAAACATTTTGTCCATTTCAGCTGGTGGATCACTGTCCACCACACTAAAAAAAAGAAAATTGAATGAAACTGAAGGACATTTTCAAATTTTCCTCAAACCTGATGACTGGGACAAGATAAGGAATATTCACAAGCATTAGTTTCTTCATATAGGAACAGAAATTCTTGGTGATCTCTGGCTGGCACTGTTCTACTTGAATGTTTTCACATCTACTAAGGCCAGGGCTTAATGCATTTGCACCTCTCTATTCATAAGCCCTTTTCTGTGGTTTGATTACAAAGCCAAAACCCATCTATTTTGTCACTTAGATCAATTATTATAATTATGCTTTGAAAAATAAAACTTTTGAAGCCCAGACTTAGAATGAGGATCTAGCTGCATCATAATTATAGTTAGTCCTGTGTGTCCTTGAATGAAGTTTCAATTTGTCTCAGAAAAATCTGGTTCTATGAAATATGGCATATCTTTTAATTGCTGATTAAGACCTACACAAATCCCGGACCCTATTTCTTTGTTCAAAGACATACCATCTTAAATAACTAGTGTAGAGGTGGCTCCCAATAATATTTGTTGAATGAATGAATACAAGGTAGGAATATAGATGCTTATATAAAATGTAAAATAGTTGCCAAGTCTGAGGGGTACACTTGTCCATGTGGCTTAAACCACTCAGCATTGCTGGCCCAGATATTACCATGTCCATCTGATTCCTGACCTTGGGGGCTGTTTTGTAGGTGAGCACCTTGTCAGAGGGTGTAGGGTGAATGCAAAACAGCCTCTGCCAACTGCAGTAGGGAGGAATGCACTGGAAGTTTCTAGAACCAAAGAGAAGGCTGGAGAATGTGGTACAGAGGAAGGGCAGTATCCAAGGCAGGTGTAGCACAGCGATGAAGCCCAGAACCTGCCAGCCTGGGCCTCGTTGTTGGCACTGTGGCTACCACTGGTTGCTTAATGCCCATGCTGATACATCCTGGGGGCAGAGGCCCCTGGACATCTGCCTCCATGTGGCAGCCACCACACTATCCCAGCATCTCTGGGTCACCCTCCTGAATGTGAAGGCTGGGGCAGGAGCTTCTCTTTGGCAGAGTGGCAGTCCCAGGCCCACGCAGTAGCAGTCAAGGTGGCACTGCCGCTATGCCTTCCACCGCAAGTCACACAATGGGGTGACTCCCTCAAAGTAAGAACCATGTTCTGAATCTGAGTGAGCAAAACCCCCACTGATTTTCACTGCTGTGTGCAACAGAGTCATGAAGAAATGTAGTTTTACTGAAAAGAAAGGAGCATTACACCAAGGCAAGCAAAATTACAAAACCGGCCCAATTTTCCTATAGAACTGAAGCTTGAGCAACTTGCATTTGTTTCACCTGAGTTACCTTCTCAGGAAACTAACCATCAGGCCTCCCAGATCACATCAAGGAACTGAAACTTCCCAGATCACCACAACCGGACAATCAGACGCACCTGCTGCCTCTTTACTAACTGCTCTTCCTTACCCCTCCCTAATTCTCTGGTATACAAACCCCGAATTTTACTTGGTTATAGAGATGGATTTGAGACTTGCCTCCCATCTTCTGGCTGCCGTCACCTGCAATAAAGCCTTTCTTCCCTGGCAATACTTGTCTCAGTGACTGGCTTTCTGTGTGGTGAGCATCCAGACCTAGGCTGAACCCCTGGTATTCGGCAACAATTATGTGAACATCAAATTCTCTGAGCTCAGAGTTGAGCTTGTAATAAGCACTTGACAAACAATGGTTATTATTTACATTATTATTATTTTAGTATCATCGTTTTTAATAGTATGAAATTGGCCAGATTTTTTAAAATTTTAAGTAAAGACTAACTGCCCATGGGCTGGTTCTTGGTAAAATTTTGAAGCAAGGGAGTTTAGCCTTGACTCCACGTCCTTGCATTTTCAACACTCTATTTACCTGCCTCCTTCCCATCCCAAATTTCTTTCCCTGTGCTGCCGACTCCTCTCTCCCAGTGCCACAGGGTATTATTCTTTGCTGGTGATCAACTAATGTTCACTAACATAGTTAAGCCTGAGAGTGTTTTAAATGCCAGCTCTGCAGAGCTGTTTGAATTTATACCACAGATGCTCAAAGATCTTAAAGCTTGCAAGGCCAAATGAGTGAATCTTTCATGGTGACAGCTAACCACTGTAACTAGGATTCATTAAATACATACAAGTTGGGCACTGAGCTAAATGCCTTAAGTGCATTATTTCCCAGGCATTAACACTTTTAATTCTCACAACTCTTTGAACTCTTTGAAATAGTGACTATTATTATCATATTAATTTTCAAATCAGAAAATTGAGGTTTGGAATTTAGGCTTGAACCCAGCTCTGACTGACTCCACAGCTCACACTAGATACTGTGAACTAACTACCTCATCTTTAGCCTAGTTGCACACATTTTCAGCACCATTTTCTACTCAAATGATAAAGAAGATAATTCAAGGAGCATTAAGGAGCCCTAATCTTCTAAGGTGCTTTGAGGGCAAGCACAGTGGTTCATACCTATAATCCCAACACTTTGGGAGACTGAGGCTGGAAGATCACTTGAGACCAGGAGTTTGAGACCAGCCTGGGCAACATAGCTAGACCCCATCTACATAAAAAAAAAAAAATGTTAGCTAGGCATAGTGATATGCACCTGTAGTACTAGCTACTTGGGAGGCTGAGGCAGGAGTATCGCTTGAGCCCAGGAGTTTGAGGCTGCAGTGAGCTATGAATGTGCCACTGCACTCTAGCCTGGAAGACAGAGCAAGATCTTGTCTCTAAAATAAATAAATAAAAATAAAATTTTTTTAAAAACGAAGTGCTTTGAACTCCTTGAGACCAAAGACTAATTTTTATTCTTAATTCTTTTCTTTTTTTTGTTATTTGATAATGAACAGTTAGTTATGCTGAGTCAAATGACTGTGCACTAAACCTAACTTCAGCACATGGGGACAATTCCAGTGGTTTAATGAGGAATTATGTGTCTAAAATGCCCAGAGTAGAGCTGAAAGAGTCTAGTTTCAAGTCTTGCATCAGCAACAAATTAAGTAAATAAATATCTCCAAGTCTCGTTGTTTTCTTTGTAGAATGGGAGAAAGCAATGTCTATTTCCTAGGTTTGCTGTGAAGATTAAAGAGTACATAGGAAAAAAAATGATTGCTGTTATACGAGGAGGAAACTGAAATAGATTTTCCTTGCCATGATCAAAGATGGCAGCTTTTTACCAATTGTGTCCCAAAGTGATTCAGGGAGAGGGTCCTCCCCAAATCACCATCATCAATTAGCCACTGAATTTTCGTGTGTGTGTATGCAGTTTATCCAGGATGACTTCATTTAAAAGACATCCAGCATGCCTGCTTTTAAAAGATAAATCATGGAAACTCTGACCTTTGTGTTCTAAAGCAGCTTTTATCTGGTACAAACAAAATATTTGAAATGCTGAGAAAGCCTTTTAAGTGGAGACCTTTGCTGCAGACTGGCACAATCAGGGCTGACGACTTTGTTAATTGATGTTGCAGCAAGCTCCTCTGAAAAAATCAAGTTCAAAGTTAGTTTGTCAAACAAATTTTCATTTAAAGAGTTGAAAGCTGTGATTTCTTCCTTTCTAACAATAACAGAGGGATTTTCATTTTTTTTTGTTAGCAAAGTATTTGCCCCATCTTTTAATATCTCTACCACCCCCAGCATCTCTGAGGCTTTGACATGGAAGTTAATTCTCTATAGGTCAAGGCCTTTGCCCTGAGTGACAGATTAGCTTCAGGAAGCACAAAGGCTTACAAAGAGTTCCCAGAGATGCAGAAGGATAACGCTGGGTCCTACGTTGCCGGCCAGGGAAAATCCATTTTGCTACTGAGTCTTGATGCTGGAGTCTGTGTGCTGAGTTGTCACAGAAGTCGAGGGTAAATGCAAGAGAACACTTGTCCTTTGGTCTTGCTAAGGCAAACAGAAGAATCATTGAGAAGGTGTGAGCCTGCAGGTGTTTCATTGGACTCTAAGTAGACCTCACCTGACTGGAAGCCTTTCATGTTGCAGACGCCCATCCAGTTCCCCAATTTCCTGGACATCACAGCTTCTCAGCAGCCGTGTCTATGAGCTTATTTCCAAGCATCTCTTTGGATGGGAGGTTTTCTGTTCCTTTCAGTCACCAATATCTGTGCAAACATTCAGTTTGTTTTTGTTTAGTGTGTCCATTTTTATCCAATAGTATGTTTGGCTCTGTAGGGCTTCTAGAATGTTCCATTTGGTGATGGGTCTGTTACCCACCTCTGATTTCCCGGACTTCTGATTTGTCTTAAATATATCAGGCATACGTGAGTGCAGGTGGCCTGAGGTTTCCCATGCAATCCCATGTCTGGCAAAGGTATGGACTATGGAATGTCCCCTGTTAATGGCCACCACTAGCCTGGAGCCATTCCAGACACATGTATCACCTCTCCCAGGAAGGTCAGCTTCTCCTCCGCCCTGCATCTGTCTCCCCTGGGGTGGCCTACAGAGGCAGGTAGAGGAAACCGCTCTTGGTGCTTGGCCCCGCCACCCAAAGTTCTGACCCACGAGTCCTTCCCTGCGGTCCTGCTGCTGCTCAAAGCACGCCCAGTCAACTTCAGACGGAAGGAAATCAGACTTCGGACTGCAGCCCAGCATATTTTTGGCTCAAGCTAGCTAAGAACCATGAAATGCTGATTTTTACAGTTTTTACTTTTTGCCAGAAGCATGTAACTGCCTCTTTAAATTATTTCAGCTAACTTCTGTTGATGATCTGTGGATAAACAAAAGTGTCTGCTGAACTGAATTTGTGGGGTGCTTTCACAGAAAACAGGCATACTGTAAGTAGGAAATCTGCATTCTGGAACATCTAATTAGGTAAACCTAACGGCGGCCTCCATAAATATCTCCCAGGGAGCTTGCATCTGTGCTCAGTGCATCAGTTGCATATTAAAGAGTCATAGCTTGTGTGAGTCGCTAAAACTACGTAACAATCATCAAGGCATGTTTGGCTCTTGGGGAAAATGGAAAGCATAGTTTTGGTTTTAAAATAATTTGTTTTATTAAGAGTGTGTGTGTGTGTGTGTGTGTGTGTGTGAGATACGAAAATGTCCAGTAGGTGACCTTTGTTGATCTTTGTTGCTGCCTCTTCAGAGCCCTGACTTCCACCTTGGACTCATCTCCCTTGTAGGCAACTAAGTGAAATCTCATGACTATAGGTTCTTGATATTTTGCTCACTACCAGGTTTAGAAAATTAATAACCACCAAATTTCTCAACAGCTTAGGATGCCACCTTTTAATATGTAACTTCTAAAAACTGAAAACTCTTCACAATTTGCAAAAATCTGTGTCAAATGATGGCATGTGGGCTTCCTAGAGAGTTGATTGGAAGGTGGTGGTGGTCAGGGGTGTCTTCTCCACCACCCACGTGTGAGTTTCCTGGGGCTGTCGTCACAAATTTCCACAAACCAGGGACGTAAAACAACACACATTTATTTTCACAATTCTGGAGGCCAGAAGTTCAAAATCAAGTTTTTGGCAGGGCCTCATGCCCTCTGAAGGCTCCAGAGCAGGAGGCGTGTCAGGCTTCTGGTGTGGCTGGTGGCCTTCACACTCCTTGGGTTGTGGACACATCTTTCCATTGTTGGCCTCTTTTTCCTATTGCCTTCTCCTCTATGCCTGTGTCTGAAATTGCCATAGGTGTTGGCCTCCTTTTCCTATTGCCTTCTCCTCAATGCCTGTGTCTGAAATTGCCATAGGTGTTGGCCTCCTTTTCCTATTGCTTTCTCCTCTATGCCTGTGTCTGAAATTGCCCTCCACCCTTCTCTTATAGGTGTTGGCCTCCTTTTCCTATTGCCTTCTCCTCTATGCCTGTGTCTGAAATTGCCATAGGTGGTGGCCTCCTTTTCCTATTGCCTTCTCCTCTATGCCTGTGTCTGAAATTGCCCTCCACCCTTCTCTTATAGGTGTTGGCCTCCTTTTCCTATTGCCTTCTCCTCTATGCCTGTGTCTGAAATTGCCATAGGTGGTGGCCTCCTTTTCCTATTGCCTTCTCCTCTATGCCTGTGTCTGAAATTGCCCTCCACCCTTCTCTTATAGGTGTTGGCCTCCTTTTCCTATTGCTTTCTCCTCAATGCCTGTGTCTGAAATTGCCCTCCACCCTTCTCTTATAGGTGTTGGCCTCCTTTTCCTATTGCTTTCTCCTCAATGCCTGTGTCTGAAATTGCCCTCCACCCTTCTCTTATAGGTGTTGGCCTCCTTTTCCTATTGCTTTCTCCTCAATGCCTGTGTCTGAAATTGCCCTCCACCCTTCTCTTATAGGTGTTGGCCTCCTTTTCCTATTGCCTGCTCCTCAATGCCTGTGTCTGAAATTGCCCTCCACCCTTCTCTTATAGGTGTTGGCCTCCTTTTCCTATTGCCTTCTCCTCTATGCCTGTGTCTGAAATTGCCCTCCACCCTTCTCTTATAGGTGTTGGCCTCCTTTTCCTATTGCTTTCTCCTCAATGCCTGTGTCTGAAATTGCCCTCCACCCTTCTCTTATAGGTGTTGGCCTCCTTTTCCTATTGCTTTCTCCTCAATGCCTGTGTCTGAAATTGCCCTCCACCCTTCTCTTATAGGTGTTGGCCTCCTTTTCCTATTGCTTTCTCCTCAATGCCTGTGTCTGAAATTGCCCTCCACCCTTCTCTTATAGGTGTTGGCCTCCTTTTCCTATTGCCTGCTCCTCAATGCCTGTGTCTGAAATTGCCCTCCACCCTTCTCTTATAGGTGTTGGCCTCCTTTTCCTATTGCCTGCTCCTCTATGCCTGTGTCTGAAATTGCCCTCCACCCTTCTCTTTTAGGTGTTGGCCTCCTTTTCCTATTGCCTTCTCCTCAATGCCTGTGTCTGAAATTGCCCTCCACCCTTCTCTTATAGGTGTTGGCCTCCTTTTCCTATTGCCTGCTCCTCAATGCCTGTGTCTGAAATTGCCCTCCACCCTTCTCTTATAGGTGTTGGCCTCCTTTTCCTATTGCCTTCTCCTCTATGCCTGTGTCTGAAATTGCCCTCCACCCTTCTCTTATAGGTGTTGGCCTCCTTTTCCTATTGCCTGCTCCTCAATGCCTGTGTCTGAAATTGCCCTCCACCCTTCTCTTATAGGTGTTGGCCTCCTTTTCCTATTGCCTGCTCCTCTATGCCTGTGTCTGAAATTGCCCTCCACCCTTCTCTTATAGGTGTTGGCCTCCTTTTCCTATTGCCTTCTCCTCTATGCCTGTGTCTGAAATTGCCCTCCACCCTTCTCTTATAGGTGTTGGCCTCCTTTTCCTATTGCCTGCTCCTCAATGCCTGTGTCTGAAATTGCCCTCCACCCTTCTCTTATAGGTGTTGGCCTCCTTTTCCTATTGCCTGCTCCTCAATGCCTGTGTCTGAAATTGCCCTCCACCCTTCTCTTATAGGTGTTGGCCTCCTTTTCCTATTGCCTTCTCCTCTATGCCTGTGTCTGAAATTGCCCTCCACCCTTCTCTTATAGGTGTTGGCCTCCTTTTCCTATTGCCTTCTCCTCAATGCCTGTGTCTGAAATTGCCCTCCACCCTTCTCTTATAGGTGTTGGCCTCCTTTTCCTATTGCCTTCTCCTCTATGCCTGTGTCTGAAATTGCCATAGGTGTTGGCCTCCTTTTCCTATTGCCTTCTCCTCAATGCCTGTGTCTGAAATTGCCCTCCACCCTTCTCTTATAGGTGTTGGCCTCCTTTTCCTATTGCTTTCTCCTCAATGCCTGTGTCTGAAATTGCCCTCCACCCTTCTCTTATAGGTGTTGGCCTCCTTTTCCTATTGCCTTCTCCTCAATGCCTGTGTCTGAAATTGCCCTCCACCCTTCTCTTATAGGTGTTGGCCTCCTTTTCCTATTGCCTGCTCCTCAATGCTTGTGTCTGAAATTGCCCTCCACCCTTCTCTTATAGGTGTTGGCCTCCTTTTCCTATTGCCTGCTCCTCAATGCCTGTGTCTGAAATTGCCCTCCACCCTTCTCTTATAGGTGTTGGCCTCCTTTTCCTATTGCCTTCTCCTCTATGCCTGTGTCTGAAATTGCCCTCCACCCTTCTCTTATAGGTGTTGGCCTCCTTTTCCTATTGCCTGCTCCTCAATGCCTGTGTCTGAAATTGCCCTCCACCCTTCTCTTATAGGTGTTGGCCTCCTTTTCCTATTGCCTGCTCCTCAATGCCTGTGTCTGAAATTGCCCTCCACCCTTCTCTTATAGGTGTTGGCCTCCTTTTCCTATTGCCTTCTCCTCTATGCCTGTGTCTGAAATTGCCCTCCACCCTTCTCTTATAGGTGTTGGCCTCCTTTTCCTATTGCCTTCTCCTCAATGCCTGTGTCTGAAATTGCCCTCCACCCTTCTCTTATAGGTGTTGGCCTCCTTTTCCTATTGCCTTCTCCTCTATGCCTGTGTCTGAAATTGCCATAGGTGTTGGCCTCCTTTTCCTATTGCCTTCTCCTCAATGCCTGTGTCTGAAATTGCCCTCCACCCTTCTCTTATAGGTGTTGGCCTCCTTTTCCTATTGCTTTCTCCTCAATGCCTGTGTCTGAAATTGCCCTCCACCCTTCTCTTATAGGTGTTGGCCTCCTTTTCCTATTGCCTTCTCCTCAATGCCTGTGTCTGAAATTGCCCTCCACCCTTCTCTTATAGGTGTTGGCCTCCTTTTCCTATTGCTTTCTCCTCAATGCCTGTGTCTGAAATTGCCCTCCACCCTTCTCTTATAGGTGTTGGCCTCCTTTTCCTATTGCCTTCTCCTCTATGCCTGTGTCTGAAATTGCCCTCCACCCTTCTCTTATAGGTGTTGGCCTCCTTTTCCTATTGCCTTCTCCTCTATGCCTGTGTCTGAAATTGCCCTCCACCCTTCTCTTATAGGTGTTGGCCTCCTTTTCCTATTGCTTTCTCCTCAATGCCTGTGTCTGAAATTGCCCTCCACCCTTCTCTTATAGGTGTTGGCCTCCTTTTCCTATTGCCTTCTCCTCTATGCCTGTGTCTGAAATTGCCCTCCACCCTTCTCTTATAGGTGTTGGCCTCCTTTTCCTATTGCCTTCTCCTCTATGCCTGTGTCTGAAATTGCCATAGGTGTTGGCCTCCTTTTCCTATTGCCTGCTCCTCAATGCCTGTGTCTGAAATTGCCCTCCACCCTTCTCTTATAGGTGTTGGCCTCCTTTTCCTATTGCCTGCTCCTCTATGCCTGTGTCTGAAATTGCCCTCCACCCTTCTCTTATAGGTGTTGGCCTCCTTTTCCTATTGCCTTCTCCTCTATGCCTGTGTCTGAAATTGCCCTCCACCCTTCTCTTATAGGTGTTGGCCTCCTTTTCCTATTGCTTTCTCCTCAATGCCTGTGTCTGAAATTGCCCTCCACCCTTCTCTTATAGGTGTTGGCCTCCTTTTCCTATTGCTTTCTCCTCAATGCCTGTGTCTGAAATTGCCATAGGTGTTGGCCTCCTTTTCCTATTGCCTTCTCCTCAATGCCTGTGTCTGAAATTGCCCTCCACCCTTCTCTTATAGGTGTTGGCCTCCTTTTCCTATTGCCTTCTCCTCAATGCCTGTGTCTGAAATTGCCCTCCACCCTTCTCTTATAGGTGTTGGCCTCCTTTTCCTATTGCTTTCTCCTCAATGCCTGTGTCTGAAATTGCCCTCCACCCTTCTCTTATAGGTGTTGGCCTCCTTTTCCTATTGCCTGCTCCTCAATGCCTGTGTCTGAAATTGCCCTCCACCCTCCTCTTATAGGGAAACGTATCACTGGATCTAGAGCCCACTTGGATAGTCCAGGATGACATTATCTCAAGATGTTTATCTTCATCACACCTGCAAAGACCCTTTCTCCAAATAAGGTCACACTCACAGGTCTCAAGTGGACATCTCTTGGGGGCTGCTCCCATCAAACCACAATACACAACACAGAAAGGCCACTAAGTGTTGTAACTCAATTTTTGGGAGATATTTGTTAGAAAACCAAAGCCTTTGACAGCAGGAGTTTCACTCTGCATTGACCTGACCCATTTTCTTTCCCCCAAGATAATGCTTTAAAGTTCCCTGCATGGTGGCTAGAGGGGGGCGCTCCCCATAGCTCTGAAATTCTCTGATTTTGCACATAAAAATTGGAATTTGAGGGTAAATCGTTGAATTAGGCAGTACTACTCAGGCACTTTTTCACTTAAGGAATGTTATAAGTAAAAATCCAAAAGAATTCCTCCAAAATAATGGCATTTGTGCTCTCTAAAGAGTTGATGGGGAAGATCTTTGTGGTCAGAAATGACTTCTCCCCATTCCTCAAACCACAGTGCGTGGACTCCCACTGCAGACTCATGGTGGCCCTGCCGTGGATTCAGGGCAGGAGTGCCCCTTCCTGGAGGAGCTGTCAGAGCGGACTGTGCTCACAAAAACACACTCCCCTGCTGAGGGGTCAGCAGTGAAGTGATGGGGAGGCCTGGGGCAGGGAGAGGGCAGCAGTGACTACAGGGCGAGATGGTATTGGGATAAATAGAAGAGGAAGAACCCCAGTATGGCGGAACAGAGGGAATGGGCCCAACCAAGGTGGGGAATGGGCCCTCGCAAGGGCGAAAATAGAAGCTAAGATATAGATGGAGGCTCTGGAACAAAACACAGGGAAGAAGGCAAACTTGCCCTTGTCAGTACTGCCGTTCAGAATTTTTCTATTAGTTGAAGTCAGTAAAGATGGTGGTCCAACTGGAAGTCATACTAGACTTCTGTGGTTCTATAATTCTAACTAGGAATCTTCAATTAGAACCTGGACTTGGCAGAGGGAAGAGCCTGCAAAGATCCAGCACAATCTGAAATCAAGGCTCCTATTTATTTGTTTTCCTGTTTACTACCCCACCCCCTTATCAGAATGGAAGCTCCTTGTGGTCAGGGTACTTGCCTGTTACGTTCGTTGTTGGATCCCAGGTCCTATTCCCAATGTTTGACATAGCAGGTGCTCAATAAATACATGACGTGAAGGAATGAATAGTGAGCACGAGGCTTCATTTATGCGTATTTTGTTCAAATTTAACTCTGAATTTTTTGACTTTCACTCCCTGGTCTGGTCCTTCCCAGAGCTTTTTTATCTTTATTTTTATTTATTTATTTTTTTTTGACAGGGTCTCACTTTGTCACCCAGGCTGGAGTGCAGTGATGCAATCTCAGCTCACTGCAGTCTCGACCTCCTGCGTTTGAGCAATCCTTCTGCCTTAGCCCCCCAAGTAGCTTGGACTATAGGTGTGCACCACCACGCCTGGCTAATATTTGTATTTTTTGTAGAGATGGTGTTTTGCCATGTTGCCCAGGCTGGTCTAGAACTCCTGAGCTCAAGTGATCCCCCAACCTCAGCCTCCTTAGAGCTTTAATTGCCTCCTGTTTACCCTGTTGGTGAGGGAGGGTTCTCTCCCTAGGATTTGGAATGTGGCTAAACACACAACACCTGACAGTGGACAGATGCGATCGACAGCAGCCTATTCCTAACATATACCCACAGCCCAAGGGAGGAGGACACCATGCCACGCAGGCCATTTAAGGACAGAGTGAATAACCAGGGGCTGTGGGAGGCAGGCTTTGTAGTAACAAGAGACTGCAATGTCTCTCGGTTCCTGTGGGAGGATGCAACTGGCTTATTTGAGTAATTCCACCGGCTGGCAGGGAATGAAACTCACTACTCAAGGATAAGCAGTATCTGCCTGGTCCCTTGATAAGGAGGGTTGCTTGGCTGGGGGACCTTCTCTGCAGGAGCAGACTGGGGAGGTGAGTTTGTGGTGATGCCATCTGAGGCCCTCCTGATTTTGACAGATGTAAGGAAACAAATAATACTTAGCTTTAATTTAAACCTTAGACTATACAGAGTTACAAGAACAGGACACAGAGTCAGTGCTTATGAGGTCAAATAACCTACTAAGCTGTGTGTCTTGAAGTTATGTAGCCTCTCTCTGCCTTTCTCAACCTATTAATGAGGAATGATAATAACATTCACTTCATAAGCTGCTGTCCAAAATAAGTTGATGTGTAAAAGACACTTGTACCAGCCGGCTGTGTTGGCTCACGCCTGTGATCCCAGCACTTTGGGAGGCCGAGGTGGGCAGAACATGAGGTCAGGAGATGGAGACCATCCTGGCCAACGTGGTAAAACCCCAATACAAAAATTAGCTGTGTGTGGTGGCATGTACCTGTAATCCCAGCTACTCAGGAGGCTGAGGCAGGAGAGTGTCTTGAACCCAGGAGTTGGAGATTGCAGTGAGCTGAGATCGCACCACTGCACTCCAGCCTGGTGATAGAGTGAGACTCCGTCTCAAAAAAAAAAAAAGACACTTGCACCTTGCCTGGAATTAACACAGCTCCCAACCAGTGTGGGTTATCATGCTTAATGGAAGGAGCATAGACGTGGAAGTAGACAGACTCACATTTGAGGCTGTCTCTGCCATGAAGTAGATTTCACTTCTCTGAGCCTCAGTTTCTCCATTTGTCAAGTGGGAGTAATGAGACATATGGAAGGCTATTGGCAGGTAATGGATATAAAACACATAGCATGGCCCCTGGCCCCTGAATAGCCATCCACTCACGTCCACAGGGGTTATTCTATTCATAATACTATAGAAATAGCTTCCACTTACAGAATGCCTACTCTATGCTGGGTGCTGACCCAGGCACTGGCTCAGGGAGTCTAAGGCCCTGGGAGGGTGGAGGCTCCAGGGTGAGGGACGGGATGGGTCAGGGCAGGAAGGATGTTGTAGACTGTGGTGAAGAATTTGGAACATGTGGTTGTCACCCTGGGGTCTGGAGTTATGAGATGGGAAAATAGTGTAGAAATTATTGAGACGGGGGCGTTTCAAAGTTCACGTGACCCCAAGAGATCTGGCCACTCCTTCCACTGGGAAACCTGCACATCCTTCTTCCCCTCTGCATGCACTGGCCTTGGATTGATGAGAGTGGCTGCTGTGGGTGTGTCCCTCAGGCTTGCTGGGACAGAGACAGTATGGAGGGCTGCTGCAATGGAGGGACGTGGAGACTCGGGAGAGTGTGAGCTGGGGAGGATAGGTCAGGGTGTGGGTGGAGTGAACATTCAGGCTGCCCTGCAGAGGACAGACTGCAGCTGAGAAAGACCTGAGAGAGAGAGAGAGAGCAAGGATGGTGTGCCCATGTCTGGGAGAGACAGCATGAGCAGGGCAGCCAAGGAGAGGATGAGAAGGATTTGTGACCATGCAGCTCTCTTTCCAACCAAGGGCGTCATACCAGTGCAGACACCTTTTCTTCTCAATCTGGGAGAATTTCACTTCTGGTACTTGTAAAATAGGAGTTGCTCCTGCGAGTAATTTTTTGAAAACAAGGCGAATAAAAATACATATTTTTGTACTGAAAGCCTTGGGAGATGGAAAGGATCTCAAATCTCAGATCCTGAGGAGAGAGGGTACAGAGGTATAGGTGAGAGGGGTTGGGGACAGGGGCTGCAGACTGAAAACATGGAGGGCTTGAGAAATGCCCATTCTGCAGTCTTCAAGGAAATATTCCAATGTATCTCCAATAGTCATGCCATATAGCCTCGCTGGGGCCACAGAGCCATTGTAGAGGTTAGCAACTCAATCCCGCAGTCAGAAAGTCCCGACAGGACATCAGATGCAGGGATGAACTGCGGTAAGCAGAGCTGCAGTCAAGCAAAATGAGGGTCAGAGCAGCTCACTGAGCCTGGGCAAGGTGGAGCGCTAGAGAATTCCCTGGCAAGCAAGGAAAATACATGGAAATAAATCTCCCTGCAAACAGCATTGCTAATTAAAAATGTATCCATGCCGTTGATGATGTGGAGTTTTGTTGCTTTATATTAGTGACTATAAATGTATTTACATTGGCTTTCAAGCTTACTGCGCTTTGAAAGTTCTTAAATTCCTCAACGTCAGATTCTACAATCAAATTCTATGACCCATGGGTCTAACCCTCCAGTAGCGGTGCAGGGAAATCTGTAGTATTTAAGGGTTTGGATCCCCAGAACTTAGTGATGTACTTGGTGGAGAGGGGGCTGGAGGTGGCTGGGGCAGGAGTCAGGACTGGGCACAGGGAGGCAGCTACATGAGTTGTGGGGGCAGGGGCTTACGGGGCTCCTGTGGGACAGGCATAGTCACGTGACTTGGAGCTGGAGGCATGTAGTCAGCAGGTCGGGCTCTCCCAGCAAATCCTCTTAGGTCACAGATTCCACCCGGTTCATGTGTTAGACGTGCACTCACATGGGTGCCACCTTTCCTAGTGGGAAACAACCGAATAGCAATACGCTGATATCAGTATCATTTTCTTTTTTTTTATCAGTATCATTTCCTTTTATTTGCCAAGAAAAGAGATCTCTGTGTTTTGGAATGAGACTGGGCCATTTTCTTGACCTGGGGAAGTCGGTTACCTTTACTTAGCTTCAATTCCTCATTTATTATGTGTGGAGAGTCACCTGTGATGCAGATTAAATGTAAGGGAGTAACATGTACAGTCTCCTAGCACAGTGTCTGGGGCATAACAGACATTCCGCAGTAGTAATGATCGTCATCAGGATCATATAGCTGGTTCCTTTGAAATACCTCCGCATAAGCCATCTATAAGGTTCTTTCTGAAAAAATACTAGTTGATTTGAATGTGGATTAGGAAAAGGCCACTGGGTTTGGGGAAGGTGGAGATATGGCCACATTCTAAATTTTAATGGTATGCTCCTTTGAAAAAGGAGTTCCAGGCATGACTTCCTCCTTTGTGTTCATGTATGATTGCTTGACGGTAAGACTAATGTCCCATACATTTTATTAGTCCACATATTGGCCATCAAGGATGGGGCAAGTCCTTCTTACTGGGTCCCAGGAGTGGCATGCCTTGTGGTTAGCCTGTGTTCCTTCTCTGGTTGCCTCAGCCCCTTTTCTTTCTTCTTTCTCCTGACTTTTTCTGGGCAGGTTTCTCTGAGAACTAGGTAGAAAGATCACATTAGTCAGAGGAAAGATGAAAAGAAATTAGTGGTTACAGTCTTATAGCTCACTTGGGAAATCTGTGCCCGTTCTCCAGGGGTTTTCAGCTTTAATTTTTCTAATTCAATCGTTTTACAGTCTGAACCCGCTGGCAGGCAGTGAATTTCTTTTAAGATTGCTGCAGCAGGGAGCTTCTATTGGCAGAAATAATTTTTTAGTGCTATAAAAATCTTGGCGGAGTTTGAGAAACATCCTGGTGGTCCCAGCCCATCTCCTAGTGACCACTCCATTAAATCCAGGAAACAAATCCTTCATCGACTGCTATCACAAAGTTGAAATTTATTATACAGTTCAGAAGTGTAACGATTCTGGGAAATCAAGAAGAAATGGAGATGAAATTCCCAGCTCCACAGCATAATTCTCTCAGTAAATGGACACAATCCTGCCTCTTATTTTGAGCTCAAAAGACAGACTTTGAAGATCTGAAAGTTTCTATTATTGATGCTACTTAAAAGAAGTTGGCTCCAAAATCATCAAGTACTCTGTTTGTGGAATAAATGGAGTTTTAATGGCCTGTGGTGCCATATGAATATTCATGCTAATAGGTATTTTCCATTTAGGATATTAACCACATAGTAACCAAGAATTAATTCTAATGGCTGGCCGTTGTTATAGGCAACTAATTTATGTTGATTCTTGACTAGAAAAAGCAAATTGCCACATCCATTAAGGACATTAAAGGAAGCTATCTTTTTTCCTTCACCTGCACCAGCCCACAGGCAGACTCCCCCTACATCTGCTGAGCATCCAAATGTCTTCTAAATGTGTTTACCAGTTTTATTTCAACCAGTAAGTGCCCTGTTTTCCATTTGCTGTTACTCAGTTAACAAGAAAGGAACCCAATATGGAAAATTTAGATTAAGCATCAAGAGCTGAATACTTATAATCCATTTAACTAGGTCCTTTATATCAGAATGAGGCCTTGCAGAAGGCAAAAGAAATCTTGTTGGTCACTGTTTTGTGCAGATCAGAATGAGTGTCCCTGACCTCAAGTATTGTAGACGTCAAAGCTGACTGGGTGAGGAGGATAGCCTTTCTTTTTGCACACTTGGATAAGGCAAAAGTAAAGGAGTCTCAAGGAAGAAAATAATGAACCATTTATTTTCCAGTCTTTAACCAAGATCATAAGAAACTTGTTGTGATCATAAGAAACCAGCCTTCCCTCAAAATCGACATGTTAGATGTCAAGTCTCTGCTTACAGAGCCCGGCTGAAAAGAATAATTTTTCTGAGAGTTATTCATTGAGGGTTCTCTGCTTATTTTCCCCTTTTCTAGCCAAGAGTTATGATCTTTAGTAAGACCACCTGGTGGCAGACCACCTACTACTACCAAACTCAAAAATATACTTTAAGTACTCTAACAGAAAAATAAAAAGGAAAAAGAGAAAAGCAAAATTCTAGGAGTTTAATGGGAAACCAGAATATCTTTGGCATGAAAATATTGGAAATATATTTTATATACTCTAGCACAGTAACTTCCCTCCAGCTCCTTTTCCTATGTAAAATTCAGCTATGATGTAGATCAGCCTCGAGATGCCTGGCCTGCAAATGCACAACTTTGGAATCAGTACATGCAAATTTCTCCAAAATGCTCTCGTATTTTTCAAGAGAAGATCTTTTCATATAGAACAGATCATGATTAGGACATAATTTGTCATATTTCGATTCTATGTCATGAATTTATCTTCTTTGTCATATTCCTGGGGTGTGCATAACCGTTGCTCACTGTTTTACTCTCATGGCCCTGCTTATGGTAGGTGATCAATAAATATTTATTAAATGTGTAAGTAAATAAATGAATATGATCTTTATGTAGACCACATGCTGTTGAGCATAAAATATTCAACAGTAATGGCTTGATCTGCTGTTACTGGAGAAGGGAAGAGGTTGATTTCTGATGGTGCAATGGAGGATCGCATCCATTTTCATCTTACATCCTATAGCACCACAGGGTGTTTAAAGGACCCTACTACCATCGCCACCAATGTCAGTGGACATAGGTTCCAATGATTTCAGAGCCCATTTCATTAGAGAGCTTTGTTTTCACACCTTTCCATGTTCGATAACATAGGCAGCCTGGATTTTGTGCAACAAAGAAAAGCATTTCATAGGATTCAGTTGACAAGAACTAGAACTTAAAGCATCATTCCTTCCCTTAATTAATAGATTTAAAAAAATGCATCTATGGGCTAGGGACTCTGTTTTGTGCTGGGGACTAAAACAGGATTAAGATAGGAGTCTAGTTCTCAAGGAGGGAAGGCCTGTCATTGCTCACTGTAGTTTGAGGTGTCATGACACAGGCGCACGGACTGCATTGGGGGAATTGATCCCCAAACTGAGATTCAGATTCAGGGCCCAAATCACGCTGTACTTAGCTGCCATGTTTGTCATTATCAGCACCATGTCTCCCTCTGTGCCATTGCTAATGCAGTAGTTCTGCAAAGAACAACTAACCCTGGATTTTCTGCAAGTTTCAATTTGGTGCTTACCAGGATGGGTCAAGGGAAAATTTCTCATGGACTGTGGTACTCGTTTCTATCACTAAGTGATGCTTAGCAAGTTTGCTGATGAAAACATCTAGCGGAAAGAAGCAGACGGTGGCATGGCTTTGGAAACTCCCTACATTCCCCACAAAAACACCAGAGCACAAAACTAAAAACCCACATACACCAACTGAGCCAGAGTAGGGACAGGTCTGAGCCCACCCCCACCTACATGTTTCTCCATACATGCCTGCTGACCATCGGACCTCCTGGCATCACCCCAGCTGGCTCATACCCGCTGACCAGACCTTGCAAGCTGTCTAAAAAAACTAAGCTAAGAAGTATTTCACCATAAATTCCACTCAGGAGAGTTAAGTCTATTGCCCACATGTGCACAAGACCAGGAGAATGACCAATCCTTACTCTGAGCCTCATTGTAATACCTTCGCCCAGGGAGGGGCTTAGCTGCCATTTTCTAATCATGCAAAATATGTGTTAGCATGATTTCTTACTGCATCTGCACACCCTGCACTCCACCCTGCACGTGAAATGACCCTCACCTACCTCGTGAGTTATGCATGTCACCCTTCTTAAGACACCGCAAGGCATTCCCCTGGGGTGCCAGCCAGAGGACCCTTCTTCCTGTGCTGTCTCCCAATGTATGCCCAATGTTTCAGGCAGAAGTCTTAATAAAGCTTGTCTAGGAAACTTGCTTGGCCTAGTGACAATTTCTGTTGCATGGGGGCCTAAGAACTTGTGGTCAGTAACACAACCACCATGAAACTTAGTGAGAGGAGCCCTGCAAATCCCATCATCTAAGGGAGCAGAATCCTGGATCACCAGATGCCATCACCCCACCTCTTCTGCACCACATCCTCATCCCACCAAGTTTGCCTGCCTCCCTCCCTCCCTTCCTTCCTTCTTTCCTTCCTTCCTTCCTTCCCCCTTCTGCACCACATCCTCCCCATCTCTTAACACTAACATTCCCTCCCTCCCTCCCTCCCTCCCTTCCTTCCTTCCTTCCTTCCCCATTGTCCTCTGAAGCTGAGGCTGAAAGGGAGTAGGAGAAACTAGTATGTATTGGGCCACTGCTCTCTGCCCAGCAGTGGTACCCATGAAAATATCTCAAATCGGAGAATGGGATTTTCCAGAATCTCTGTGGTTTCATCTAATTTTGTTATTTTCAATAAATTTAATTTGTTGAACTTACATAACTAAATGTTACTTTTTGTATGCTTGTAAAACTTCTCATAAATAAATCCATAAACCCTAAAAATACTCTTATTTCTAAATGTGTACCATGGTTTTGGTTTGGGAAATACAGTTTTATGCAAAGGGATAAATTTAAATTGAACAGCTGGAGAAACAAGCTTGAAAAAAAATTCAGCCTCCAAATAAGACAGAAGGATTTGATGGTGAAATGTACTTCAACGAAATTTAAAATAATTGCCTATGGGCTTTCGTTGTGGTGGTTTGTGTTCTTAAGACATTACCCAGCTGGAGTTAAAATGCCGGTGGTCCAGCGCTGTTTGCAGCTCTCTGGTGTGGGGGCTTCTTCTTCAGTTTGCTGACCCCTTCCCATCGGCCTGTGGACTGCGTGAGGCCGTCCAAATTCCCCCTTGAGTCTCCCCACTTCCCGCGGAATGTCTTCAGGGTTCATGATCTTGGACAAACATGTGCTGGAGATTTCCAACTTCATGTCTCTGGCTTTGACTAGTCTCTGGAAATCCAGCCACATTTCCGAATATCTGCAGGACGCCTCTATGGAGATTGGAACGATTTAGCCTGGATCCATGAGCATTTAACAAAATCCGCCACGGCTGCTGGGAGCCGATAGTTCCGGGGAAGTTTTATGCAAAATTGAGTGTGTGTGTGTGTGTGTGTGTGTCCGTGTCCGTGTGGTGTGCATACCTATGGATGTGGGGGTGTGGGGAGGGTGTGTTTGCACAGTGCATTTTTCTGGGAAGAAAGTACATAGATTTTTTTCAGATTTTCAAAGTGTACTTTGGTGCTTCTCTTCCCCCACAGTAGCTAATGTTCTAGGAATGCTTATCTTGCGCCAGGCATCATACCAAGTGCTTTATTGGTATTGTATATTTAATAATTTCAGTCATCTTTTGAGGTATGATCTGTTCATATTTGTCATTTTGGAAATACGAAGCATAGTGAGATTGGTAAACTCCAAGGTCATAGCTAATAGACATTGGAGGGAAGGTTCAAATCCTGCCCTTGCCCCAAGGCAAGATCCTGGCTCCTAATTCAAGTTCTCCACCAGCATTGCATCACTGGGACCTACCTGTCTCCCCTACTTGGTCATGGATTTTGGTGTTTCTTTTTAAAACTCTGTCTCCCAGACATTCTCACAGCCTCTCCTCTAGTTCAACCCCCAAATATGATGTTAGTTGGCCTATGGAGGCTGACCCATCTCCAGAATGGATTATTGTCACACTGGCCTTCCCGCCCCTTCCCTTCTTCCTCCATCCCTGCATCATCTGGGGCCCACAGGGTCTCTAAAGCATCCATGGGCTCCCAATCTACAGTCCAGTCTGTCAGCAGGAGGTCATGTTACTCCACGGTCAGGGTCACTCTGACCTTTCCAGACACGGTTCTGAAGGGCTCTTCAGGAGACACCACACATACGCACCAAACATACACACACACACACACACACACACACACACACACCCCAAATACATCAGACACCCCCACACTACACACACACACACTCACTCACATACAACACAAACACGCCGAACACACGCACGCCACCTCTCCACACTACACACAAATATACACACACTCACCACCCACGCAAATGTACATACACCACATCACACACACCACACACACCCACCAAACACACATCAGACACCCCACATTACACACACACACTCACATACAACACAAATACACACACACCTGACACTTTCCACACTACACACACATGCACAATCACCACCCACACAAAACACATCACACACACCACACAAACACGCACACCATACACTGTGCACACACACTCACATACCACACAACACACCAAACCCATAGACACCAGACACCCCTCACACTACACACACACACTCACATATAACACAAACACACACCAAACACACACTCCCAGACACTCCCCCAACACCACACACACTGTGCACACACATACACTCATACCACACACCACACATACCAAACACACCCAAACACCAGACACCCCACACATATGCACACCACACACAAATAGCACACCACACACTACACATACACTTCCACACACCACAGCCCCCTACCTTCCCACACACCCTGCTCCCCTATACCATACCCCACATCCTACCTCCCACATCCCACACCACATCCCACCACACACACACACACACACACACACACACACACACACTTTTGATGTCTCTGAGGCCTGGAACCTCTGCCATGTGAGGACACAGCATTCACCCCTTCCCGAGGACACAGTGTTCAAGGCGCCGTCTTAGAAGCAGAGGCCAGACCCTGACTAAGCAATGAACCTGCTGGCAGCTTGATCATGGACTTCCCACTCTCCAGAACTATACAAAATACATTTCTTTTCTTTATAAATTACATGACCTGTGGTGTTCTGTTATTGCAGCACAAAACAGGCAAAGATAATTGTCTTCCCTGAATGAGTATAATTGTTCCCAAATTTCTCCTTTTTGTAAGGACACCACTCATATTGGATTAAAGTTCACCCTAAGCACCTCACTTGAGCTTGATTACCTCTGTCAAGACTGTATCTCAAAATAAGGTCACATTCTGAGGTACTGGGAGTTAGGAAGCCAACATACCTCTTCTGGGTAGCAGGGGATGTAATTTTACCCATCACAACATTTGATCACTCTCTTGGTTTCTGTACTCATCTTAGGGTCAGCAATGAGCCCCCGAAAGGTTCTTCTTTCCACCAGCTCTTCCTTCTTCAACATGGACAATTTACATTTTCATCTGTGCTCTTATCACCCTTGGTCTCCTGTAGTTAAGAATCCTGAATCGGGCCGGGCGTGGTGGCTCACGCCTGTAATCCCAGCACTTTGGGGGGCAGAGGCTGGCAGATCACAAGTTCAAGAGATGGAGACCATCCTGGCCAACATGGTGAAACCCCGTCTCTACTAAAAACATAAAAATTATCCAGGCATGGTGATGTGTGCCTGTAGTCGCAGCTACTGGGGAGGCTGAGGCAGGAGAATTGCTTGAACCTGGGAGGCAGAAGTTGCAGTGAACTGAGATCGCGCCACTGCACTCCAGGCTGGTGACAGAGCGAGACTCCGTCCCCCTCACCCCCCTCAAAAGAAAGCATCCTGAATCGAATCAATGTCTTTTTACAGATTTTTACAGGAGAGCTGTATTTTCAGCTTTGAGGTCACTGCGGGGTGGTTTTGTTTTAATTAATTTATATTTTTCTTTCCAGCCAGGCTGCTGCAAGTGCTTGGCTTTCTGGAAGAGGTTTTGGGATGCTCAGATGTACACAGCAGGCCAGAATTTGGCCATGCGAATGGTCTTAGGGTTAGAGATGAAGCATGACTATTAATAACAATTATCACAGGGTGGCTGCTCAGAGTCAGTGTCATCTGCATAATCATCTTTCACCTCAGCATCTGCTCCCTTCAAATACAGGTGTGTGATTTTTAAAGAACCAAATATTCAGAATATACCTTTCTTCTCCCCCACTTCTGAGGAACTCAGATCACTTTGTTGTGAGATCTAACATGATTCCTTTGCTCTTCATAGGCACTTCATGATAAGGTGGTAATTTCATGCCTTGGGGAATTAGATGCAGTTATAGCTGTAGATGTACTTGAGTTACTGGAATCCAGACAGGCAAAGATGATTTACTGGTAGAAGCACCACAGCTCAGCAAGGAGAAGGAAATAGGGCCAACATTTCTGACTCTTGGCTTCCAACTTCTAACCATATTTTATCTAGGTTGATCAACTTTGAAGCACCTGTCATTGCAATTTCAGGGTATGTGCTCTAACGCATGTCTTCTGCAAAGGCTTCAAGTCATTTTGTTTGATGTGCTTTTTATTATCTATTGCATCCTGAAGCACGCGCTGGGTGCAAAACTCTGACATTTTTGGCAAACTCTGCCGTTGGCCGACCAGATGTCAGGGATGCCCTGTGGACAGGATCCAGGTGTGTGATGGGCTCCATGGGTCTAGCTGCCCTTCATATTTCCAGATGAGTCCTGTTGCAGCCTCGAGCTGAAGATAAAACAAGGGATGCAGGGAGGGGCTCAGGAGGTTACATTTTCACTACCACTTTTGAGCTTCAGCAAAGGAGAAATGGAAATGTCAGTGAGGGCTGTTATCTTTAAAATATGTGCATTCTAAGGAGAAGAATTAAAAACAAACAAACAGAAAAACCTAAAATCTATGCAACTCTGGATTTCTTTGCAACTCTAGGTTCCATATCACACACTGGGTAGCTTAAAATGGTAGCGCTTTATTCTCTCACAGTTCTGGAAGGTAGAAGTCAGAAGTCAAGGTATCAGTTAGAGACATGCTTCATATTCACTTACCCACAAACTAGTGGATGACACATTTTGGCCATTTGGAAGATCTTTATTATAGGAGTATGTAGATTTTCCATAGAGTGCTGTTGTGTGACTTGAATTTTAGTTGTGGCCCTGCCTCTGACTTTGTCAGTGATTTATCCTGGTTCCAGGAAATAAGAATAGCCTTTTTCTCATGATAGTCTTTGGTAGTTTTTAAAACATTTGTTTAACTCAACAGATGCACCATGTGCCTGACTCTGCTCTATACCAGTGAAGAATTTACACTGTAATGGGGGGAGGTAACTATAAAGATGATAAACATAACATCTTAATTGGAGTGAGTATGAAGATGGTTGTTATCTTTTCCTAAAAGAAACAACAACAACAAAACAAAAAAGGAAGTCAAGGTATCAAGAGGGAGATGCTACCTCTGAGACACTGGAGAGAATCCTTCATTGCCTCCTCCTCGCTTCTGGTGGTGGCCGTCAATTCGTGGTGTTTCCTGGTTTGCAGCTGTGTCACTCTCATCTTGGTCTCCGTCTTCACATAATGTACTCCTTGTGTGTGCCTATGTGCTCAATTTTCCCTTTTCTTATAAAGACACCAGTCATTGGACTTAGGACCCACCCCAATCCAATATGACCGCATCTTAATTTGCTTACATCTGCAAACATTCTATTTTCAAATAAGGTCCCATTCACAGGTACAGGGGTTAAGGATGCCAACATATCTTTCTGGGGGACACAGTTCAACCCAGTGCATGCTCCATTATCATCACATGGAGGCATTTGTCTGGTTGGCTTTCAGGGGCTCTGTTATAAGAATGTAAAATCCTAGGAAATATTGAACGTTGTCTGAACTTGGGGTTTTGAGGTTGCGTCTATAGTCCTCAGATGCTTTTTTTTTTTTGATAGGGATAAAGAAGTAAAAATTGGAATGGGTTTTGGTTTCTAGGAATCAGGTGAGTTGCCTGAGAGATAGTTACATGGGGTTGATCCCCAGCCGGTTGCCATCAGAACCCGTAAACACCAAGTTCCTCCAGTCCAGACAAATCCAGACCCACAGCTCTGTTTCACATTAGTGTCATAAAAGATTTTCCTGTGCTTCTGTGTGTGGAATCAACATAGAAATTAAACAGTGCATCAAAAATCACTGACATTTTGTAATAACGTTCCTTGGCTTTCATTGGGAATTGGCAAATCTCAGAAAGAAATAATTGAGTAACTTGGGTGCTTGACTCGTGTCTATCACTCTTAGGAAGGGAGTGTCTGTGGTCCAGAATCAGAGCCTAAGGAGAGCCCATCTCTCCAAGGACCCTGTCCATGCGGCTTCTCTATGTTCCTGATATTGGAGGAATAAAGGGGATAGGTCATCATCTTCCCACCATGTTAAGAAGCCATCTGTGTGGTCATTGGACTGGCAAAAAGACAAAGAGAATGTCCATTTCCATTTTTGATGCACTTGCTTCATGACCCTGAGCAGAGCCATTTGACTATTTTGGTTTTGCTTCTTTATTTGTGAAGATCATGAGAAGGAAGCTCACACCAGGAAAGCCCACCTTTGCTGTATTCCAGAAATAAATAAACGGGACTTTTAAGGCAGGTTTTTGAGGATTTTTGTGAATGATTCTATAGGTACCTCAAACCAGCTTTCAAACATGCTCGTTAATGTTTTCAGGGTGCCAGGGCATTATTGAGTAAATTGCAACTTTAGACATAAAAAACAAAATATGACTGAAAAAGAATTCTAAAAATCATGACAATTGTACATAAACTTAAAAAACTAGGTCACTGGAAATTTTTGAATACTTAAGATCCGCTCCCATTCAAGGACTTTCCTTACAGTCAAATTAACTGGAATGCTTGGGTCCTGAAACCTGCTTTGTAGCAAATGGTTTATTTTACTGGATGTTTCTTTATGTAAATATGGCTTTTTGCATATATAATATTTCTTCGTAGGGTAAATGTAGTGCTCACCAAAACAACCACTGTCTGGGAATTTTCTGTCAACTGAAATTGAGGTTGTTGTGAATTAGGGGAAATAGCTTTTATTGTCACTTTGGACTGCAGCAGGGCAAAAAAGGAAAACAATAAGCATTGTGAATTATATGTTTTATGCTCCTATTATGAAGCTAATGATTTCCTATTTACTCTTTCTGATTCCTTGATAAGAAGCACCTGCAAAGGTATTGACAAAGCTTGAGCCATAGGTTTATGTAGAAGCCCGAAATGCTAACTTTCAGGAACGTGAACATATTCATTTCTCACAAATACAAATGAACATTGGCTTCTTGTGAAGTGTCAGTTCACTGGCAGGATGCACAGGAAACCCTGTAGTTTTATTTTTTCCAATATTTGCCCCTTCCAACTCTGCTAGGATGAACCCTTCCTTCTCCAGGCATCCTCAATGACTTTCTGCTGCAGCCCCACTTCTTTCTCAGCCCCACTGATTCTCAGCACAGTTTCATCTTGCTACTCAGGATTCAGTGCTGTTCCCCTGCAAACGTCACTGTCGAGATGGGTTCAGATCTCTTGTCTCCTGCCTACAGAGCAAGTACACCTCAGCTGTTTCCTCCTCATCCCCCTTATCCTTCTCCTCCTCCTCCTCCTTCTTCTCCTCCTCCCTATCTCTCTTCTAGGATCCTCTGAGTATAAGGTCAGGAAGTTGGCAAGAAAGTGCAAGTGCCCCCCGAGTGACTGGGTGAGATGACAGTCTGCTTTGCTGTGTATTGTGGCCTCGGTGGCTGACGCTGGCCTTTGGTGCTCTTGCTAAGCTGGAAATCCAAGGGTCCATCATTGGTGGACACCCATATGGTTCTTTGGAGACCGTATGGAGATCTCCAACTCCTTAGCTCCCACTATAGGAAGTCATGCCCTCAGTTTTTGCTTCATGTCTAAAAGACCCCTCTTGACTGGGTATCCACATGCCAGAACAACCTTTGGTATTCATTCAATCCACAGGGAACTCCTGGATTCTTGCAACGTCTCATGAGGAGGTTCAGGCTGCTTTGGGGTGCCCAGTCTTGAAGACCTCTCACTGGTCTTCGTGGAGGAGGAGTGCTGCTTTACCCCACTTTTCCTCTACTCCGAGGAGAGCTGTGGGGAGCAGCAGACAGAGCAGTAGGGTGGGGCTAGTGGTATCTCAGGAGGGAGAGAGGCTTATGGGGGAATCTTCTGATTGGCTACAGGGACTCATTCTTCCAAGGACCCCATGGCTTCTAACTTCCTCATCAGGCTTGAATTGAAACACACCAGCTACCTAAATTTCCTGTCCAGAGAAATCCAATAAGGCTGAAAAGACTGATGTTTTTCTCCTTTTACAGAAGAGAAAACATCCCAGCCTATGTTGCCCCTCCATTTCACATTTCTTCCTCACACACGTGGTTCTTGAGCATCTAGGTCTTTCCTCCATCATCCAAATCAGTCCTTTTAATACTGAGATAACTATGTCCTCGAAGGCTCCTATGGTTACCTTGGCCTTATCTTTCTTCCTGAATGCATAATTCAGCACTAAATTTAATCAGTTTTGTCTTACTATGTATGCGAAGTCTACTCATCTCACTTCTCTAATCAGATGATACAGTTTTAAAAGTGGGAATCATATTTTCCAGGACTTATAGTTGCCTCTTTATTGAGTAGGAAATGCTGAACATTTGATAGAGTGTTCTTTATTGAGTAGAAGATGCTCTTTATTGAGTAGAAAATGCTGAACATTTGATTGGGAGGGGCAGCTCAAACTAGTGGTAGAAGTTTGAGTTATTCTGATCTTTCTCTGAGTCCTTCTTTATTGGGAAACTGTGATGTGCTTGAAAAGATCCATAATTGATAGATGCTCCCCTTTTCCCTTATTTAATTTTATGTACAAATGTATGACCTTGGGCAGACTCAACCAAGTGGGGGCCCCATTCACAGGCTCTGATGGAGGAGACATCCCAGTTCCACCTATTCTGAGATCCAGAACCTTAACACCGGATGGTGGGTGACCTCTCCTGTTCAGCTTCCTTCCCAGTCTCCCTAGAAGGGGCCTCTCCATGGTGCCTTACAGAGGTAACCAAGGAAAAACTTGGGAAGAATCAAATCATGCTAGGGAAGATGTATACACAGCTGGCTAGGCAGGAGACTTTGACTATAATATGTGCTTAAGAAACCAATATTCCTATGTACCCTAGAATAGCCTGGTTCTGGTACTGAGTGCAAATCCATTTCCCCCTGAGAGTTGGGGCCACTGAAGAGACCCTGTCTCTGCCCTCTTCTTTCCACTGGTGTGGTTCTGCGGCGTCCTTTTCTTTCTGGCCATTCACTGACTGCACTGGATGGACAACCACTTGTGTTCTGGCTGATTTAAAAACGGTAAGCCAGTCTCCAGCAATTATTCCTCAAAGTACTGACTCTGAAATATAGAAAGCTATTCATGAATTGTACTCCTAGCTTCATTTGTGCTAAGACAGAGGTCCCTTAAAGTAACTCAGAGGTGCCGTTTTCTTCCAATGTGAGTTCCGCATAAGTCTCACTGCCACTCCTGACCTCTCCTCCCCAGGAATGGCTCTTGTTTCCTCCTGGTTATTTCAGTGGCTGGGTTGGTTCTAGAATCCATTCTGGTTTTTGAGTGGACGAAAGCAGAAACTGGAGTCAGTGAGACATGGGTTCTGACCTCCACTTGGCTGCCCATTGGAGGTATGTGACTTTGGCTGACTCACCTGCACTCGCAGTATCTTCATGATGACTTCTGCCTCTGATCTTTTTCATTTGTAGAGAGCAGAATATGGATGTTAAACTATCAAAGGTCCCGTGCTTGCAGCAGCCCAAGAATGGGGTTGAGGACACAGACTGCTGTTGCTGCCAAAGGGCTTTGTGTCCACTTATGGTGGCTTACATTTGTATAACACACCAAAAATCATGTTGCTTCAGATGCAAATATCCAAATAGTGATGCCAATGATGAGGAAGCCTGACATCTGATCATACAGTATATTTATATCTACCATGAACTGGGTTGTTTTTTATTTTACTTTTTTTTTTTTGAGAGAATGTCATAATGTTTCCATGAAGGCATTCTGGTTGACATCTATGAACTTATAATGCCCCCTCACTTGAGTCTGAGGAAGGAACAAGGATGCGGGATCCTGGCGAGCCCTCCTTAAATTCAAGAGGCCAGGAGCCCTGCCTCCGGCGAATCTGGTATGGTGTACAAAGGTAGTATCTTGAATGCAGAGGACAAAGAGGAGTGGTTAGGAGAAGAAGCAGAAGGCATGCCAGCTTTGTAAGAGATAGTAATCAACCCAAGACCCAAGATAAACAGGAAAAAAAAAAGTAAAAATGTTTTTAAAAATTCTCATTAAGCTGAACGCATTTGGGTCAAGTAAGTCTAAGTCTTTCACAAATTGTTCATTTGGGCCTAAACCCAAGAGCACCCTTTGGCTGAAAATATCAACTTGAAGAGTTACTTGAAAATTATGAAACATTAGCAGTGAAACTTAATTAAAAATAGCCATTGCTTACCATGTGAGAGGACTTCCTGCTTAATGGGGACACGGTAGAGGATGTTTAAATTGTTTACAGCATAAAATTTGCTTTCATCCTAATGAGAAAACTCAAAAACATTCAGAAAAGTAACTAAAAAAGAAAAAGACTTAATGGTCTCACAGGGCTTGGGCCCATGAATAGCCTCTTCTGCAAGGAGCAACTGGTCACCCCAAGAAGCAATAAACCCTCCTGAAGTGACGAGAGGGGCAGCATTTCCAACGTTTATCAGCCTGAAATTTTTGTTAGTATGAATGTCCTTTCTGTTAACCCTCGGGCTCTCTGTTAAGCAGGTGTCTTTTTTTTGTTGTTGTTTTGTTTATCAAGCTGTTGATTCTCTTTGAGGCTGAGGAGGTTCCCATGAGTTTGTAACTTGACCTGACCCCAGTGTGTTAATTCCTGCAATCCAGACCCTGGGAAATGCTCCCTCATTAAACAAGACCCTGCTAACTCCTAAGGGCCCTACACAGCAGCACAGCGTATTTTAGATAAGTTAACCCTTGCTTTGCCATGGATCCGAGAGCACAGCTTCTCATCTGCCGAAGGTGCAGGCTGGGTGCTCAAAGCCTTGCCTGGTCAGCCCTGGGAAACGCGTGGTGATGGAATCCAAGCCATGGAGCCCCACGCCTGGCTCAGCCACCCATGAGTAGCATGGGGGAAGTTATTACAGCTCTCCGGCTCTGTGCCACTGTTTCAGCATCTGTAAAATGAAGATTGCTGTTTCATAAGGATATTGGGAAGATCACATGAGATAATGCCTGGGAAGGGCTTTCTAGGTTCCTGGCATGTGATAAGGACTCAATCAATGTGCAGTTGCTGTTTCATCACTGTTTTCATTCCACAAAACTATATTGAGCCCCCACTGTTTACCAGGCACTGGGCTAGACCAGTGGGGGGTGCCAAGATGAATAGATGAACCCATTGGACCCAGAAGCTCCATCTGGTAAGAGGAGAGACAAGTAGAGTAGTCAGAGAGCTCAGGGTGACCCTGGCTTTGATGGAGGTTTCCCGGGGTACTCAGGAGCATCTGTCCCAGATGTGGGCTCACAGGGTGACACCTGAAGGGACATTCTGAAGACTGGGTAGGAGTTAGGCATGGCAAAGTGTTCCCAATAAAGAGAAGCCCTTGAGCAAAAGCTCAGAGGCATGGAGAGCCATGGTGAGTTCTGGAGTTACTGCTGCAAGGAGCTGGGGAGTTGAGTCTGTGTAGTATGTAGAGCGAGACCAGGGGACCCTGAGTGTCATGTCCTGGGGCAACAGGAAGTCACCAAAAATGTCAGTGGAGGACTTATGTCATCAGATTCCCATTTCGGGAGAATGGAGTTTTCAGGAATATGAAGGAGGGGATGGAGGGAGAAGGACTGGAGTCCAAGTGGCTGGTTGGGAGAACACTGCATTGAGAGAAGGAGCACCTGGCCCCAGCAACGGCTGCAGAGATGGACAAGAAAACACAGAAACAAGCGGCGGTTGAGACACAGAGTAGACAGCATTGGCAAGCAAGGAGCTGAGGCGTCTGGAGGGGAGAAAGGCATTGAGACATGTTAGAATCTGGCAGGTGGTACAAGGTGAAGCCTTCTCACCTTGCAAGAGCAGCCCCTGAGACAGTGATAAGGAGTTCTGGGTGCTTCATACTCCAGCTTTTGTACTTCATAAGTCCATGACCTTGGGCAAGTGGTTATTTGCAAGTCTGAGATTCCTCACTTGTAAAATGGGGGTAGTAACACCTTCCATGGGGGCTGTGGTGCACATCAAACAAAGGACTGTGTGCACTGAACACAGAGCCTGGAGCCTGAGGCATGGTCAGGGGGCCCAAGTCAAAAGCTTGTCATCAGAAGAGTCATTATATCGTTTGAGGACACGAACATTGCCAGGGGCCAGTCAATATCAACTGCATGGTGATTTGAGGTTTAATCAATTGCAGTTGTGGTCTCCATAAAAATGGGTCCTTTGCTTTGCACACAGGAAAAGGATTTGAATGAATCCCAAGTGGGTTACTATTCTGTGCAAGCTACAGAAATAGTCAGCATGCAAGTGACACAGATAAGGCACAGTCCCTTTCCCTTGGGGAGCTGAGAGCTGGTGAGTAGGCTGAGTGTCAGCAGAGAGTCTAGGTTTCAGGCTCACATCACTGCCCCTTCTACTGCCATTGTCTCAGGTGAGTTTCCCATGTTCCCTGAGTAGTGTTCTCCACCTGGAAGAGGGGGATCATCATGCTTGCTTTCTGCCTGTTGGGAGAATTAGAGGAGATACAGGGCAAGATCTGGCCCGTCCTGGTTTAATTATCATTATTAGGGGAAATAAAATGTAATCACAAATGGTTATTATCTAGCACAAAGTGAAAAGTGCCATTAGAGAAGGATCAGGAGGTTCAGAGGAGAAAGGGGTCATATTCAGCTGAGATAATCAGGAAATGGAACTTCCACTGAACGTGGAAGAAAGGCAGGGATTGTGGTGGCTTCACACGTTGACTTGGCTACGCTGGAGTTACATTTTCCAGAATTCTGCTCCCCTTGGAGGGTGGGTTGGAGGTGGGCCACAGGGCATTTGCAGAAGGTTTTGAAGGTAAAGGAGAAGCAACAGCTATGTTCCTTCAGCCCTTGGAACATAGCAACAGCTATGTTCCTCCAATGCACAGGGCTGGGCTCTGAAACTGCCTGTGCAATTTGTCCTCACCTGTGGCTCATCTGGCTGCTCAGCCTCCAGCTCCTGCTGAATGCCCACTCTGTTCTCCAACTCCTGGGCTGCAGGCAGACTCAGCCTCATGACAAGGAAAGCCAGCTTCTCCTGCAGAACCCCCAGCCCTGTCACTGAAGTTGAGGCCTAGAAGTGTGAGAGACTAGGGTATGAGGCCTAAAGCTACAGCCCAATATTATGTGTGTGCCTTCACATCTGGGGAACCCAGCCTAATGGCAAATTCCCCATCCCACGGTGCTCCTGCAGAGAAGGTGTCCTGGCTAAGCCGCTCTCCCTAATACCAGAGCCAGGCACAGTACCTGCTATTGTTGGTAGGGGACTCTGTTCTCTGCAGGAACCATCTCCTCCTGCAGAAGCCAAGGGGCACCCCATTCTCTTGATACCACAGAGCCTGCCTCCCTTAGCCTTTTCTTGTTCACTCAGCTCCTGGGTGAAACCCCTGTGTGGCACTGAATGGTATATGGTGTCCTCCTCCCAACCTGTCAATTTCACCTGTTCAGTGTTGGGGTGTCCTGTGTTTGACCAGGCTCAAAATCCTGGGCAGGGAATCCCTCCTTTGCCTACAAGGTGAAGAGGTGATGATGTTCAGAACACAGCCCCACGCCAGGTTCCAGTCTGTTCTCCTGGATTCTGGCTCCTGCCTGTGGCCTCACTCTCTCCCACTTCAAGTCCCTCCCCTCTTCCTCACTGCCTCCCCGTGGACTTTAAATCCCAGCACCAGACACAAAGACGACAGCCTTGCAGAGACCATTTAACTAGCTTCCATCATTATGTGGCATCAAATCCCTATAATCATATCATAAGGTATCAAATCCCATATCATAAGGGATTTATTATAAGGGAATGTGACCTCACACAGGGATGGAAGCTGGTTAAACAGTCAAGGATGGAAGCCGGTTAAATAGTCTCTCTCTGTCTCTCGGTCTCTATCACTCTGATGGTTTTGTTGCTCAGATCTAACCCTGATTTTTATAGACTCTAACTGGTCAATCAGGCTGAAGGAATAACAGGATCTGAAAAATCTAAAGATGGTGTAGAAAAAGGCTGCTTCTGTGACAGGCGGGAATTTCTCAATCCACCACCTTCGGTGTGCTAGAAATGTGACTGACTTTCTCTCTGGAGGCCCCTTTCTTGCAAGGAGCAGAAATAGAGTCTCCCTAATTCACAGGAAGCACAATGACTATTCAGATTCCTCTCCCACCACCTTCACTTCAGAGGGGACACATTCCTTCCAGGGACTGACATGGCGGCTTCTCAGTCTCAGCAGGGGAGAGACGGGTTTTCCTTGGCCTCGGTAGGCATTGGCCTCCTCTGCAGTGAGTGTTGTCCCATTGGCACTTATTGGTTCCACTGGCCAGTCCACCCTACCCAAGGACAGTGTCCCCTCCTCCATTGTCTGCTGCCATATTTGATTCCTCTCTACTCTATTATGGGTCAGCAGGGGCGGGGGCCCACTGTGAGCCTTCCTCATGCCCTTGGCCTCAGCCTTCTGAGCAGACACCTGTTCCTACTTGTCTTGGTGCCCAGGGTAGCAGGAGGCAAAGTGCACTCAGGACCCCTTAACTCTAAGATTGTCAAACAACGACAATCCCCTTGGGGCCAGTCATTGGGTGGGTTCATGGTTCCTTCTGAGAAACCCCATATGCACTTCATTCTTTTCATTTCCCATGCTCTCTCTTTTGGCCTGAAGAGAGTATTTTTCCTTAGAAGAAGCAAGTAGTTAAAAAATATTTTCTTCTTTTCTTTGACCTAGAGCTTAACAAAAGACAAAACTCAGATGATGAAGTACTTAACATCTTCCTTCTTTCTTTCCTGCTGACTTGATGACTCTGCTTTGGAGCAGTGGGGGCCTCAAGGTCGCAGTGGAGAAAGCCATGGGCCAGTGGGAGGTGAAACGGAGCCAAAGGTGGGAGAGGGCTCGAGGGAAGAGGCCATGGATAAAAGGAACACCCTTTACACAGAGGTCGGGGGAAGATGGCCTTAGGAAAAGCCATTTGATTTGATATTTGAGAGATGTTTGGTGACCTTCAAGAGCATATTTTTGGGAGAATTCCAGAAAGAAAATAAGGTTGTAAAGAGTAAGAAGGTCAGTGAAGACTGTAAGGACAGGAAATGTGGAAAAGCTCAGTATCAGCCACTTACTTTTATGGGATCCTAGTAAATAAAGGGGGAGACAGACGATGGAAACTTTAGGGCATATAGGGAACATTTAGGTCCAAGCAGGGTGGAGGAAAGATATTTTTAGGGTGAGGGAGACTTGGGTATCATGGTTGACAGAAGAGAAAGAGCGAGAGTGCAGGAGAGACCAAACATGTATAGTGAAAATGCTCAACCTCTTATGGAATCTTGGCTACACTTCTGCTAGCTTGGTGACCCTGGAAAAGATAATAAACCTCTCAGAGCCTCACATTCTTAATATATGGAACTTTTAGAGATGGCAAGCCTAAGTCAAAAGCTAGTTTTGTAATGTTATACCATCAATATAGCAACAATCATGCATAGTGTGCCTCTACTTCCATAAATATGGAACACATATATGGTGCTTACTATGTGTCAGGCCTTGTTCTCCATATTTAATGCATATGAACTCACTGAATTGCATGCAGTTAACATCTACTAACTCAATTCTTAAAGCAACCCTAGGAGCCCAATTTTTAAATGATCCCTGTCTTACAAATGAGGCAACTGAGGCACAGAGGGGTTAAATAACTCTCCCAAGAACATAGAGAAGGCAGTTGACAGGGAAATGGGCTTGACAACCTATGCTCTTAACCACTGTACAACACTGTCTCATGCTGAATGAGCTTTCAATATAAAAACTGATTATTGATTGATTGATTGGCTGAGCAGAGAAAGATGAAGGAAATTGGTGGTAAACAACCACAAAGAAGGAATAAAAGTGTAGAGCAATAGACCAAGTGAAAGGGTTGACCTGTGAAGAGCAAAGAACAAGCCCAGGGGAAAATACAGAGGTGCTGGGTAACAGCAATGCTGTTTGAGCCCCTGCATCCAGCTGCTCCTGAAGCTGATAAAATCCATTTTCAGACCTTTGGTTAAGCCAACAAATTTTCTCTCTTGCTGAAACCAAGATGGGCTGGGTGTCCACTCACTTGCATCTGAAAGATGATTCACTAATATGCTCATCTATTTTGAAGTCTGGTAGCAGAGAAGAGAGGTGGCGTAGGCTAGCAATTCATGATGGTACCAGCCTCTGGCTACCTCCTTGTATTAGTTTCCCAGGGCTGCCGTAGGAAGTGACCCCAACTGTGTGGCTTAAATCAGCAGACATTTATTCTCTTATAGTTGTGGAGGCCAGAAGTCTGAAATCAAGGTGTCAGGTCAGCAGAGCCATGCTCCCTCCGAAGGCTGTAGGTGAGAATAATTCCTTGTGTCTTCCTGACTTCCAAGGTTGCCATGAATCCTTGGTGTTCCTTGGCTTGCAGATGCATTGCCATCTTCCCTGCTTGTCAGTCTGTGTTTCCTTCTTCTTATAAAGACACCAGTTTTATTGAATTAGGGCCCACCCTAGTTGAAAACAACCTCGTCTTTATTTGGTGGCAACTGCGAGAGCCTATTTCCAGGTCACATTCGCAGGTACTGGAGTTAGGGCTTCAACATGTCTTTCTGGGAGGCTCTCATGTCTATTGTACATGGCCATGCATGGCAGAGAATCATTTTGGTGTTTTCCCCTTGTTCCCTCTATCTTCCACTGGCATTCAGGCAGCTTTCTATCTCCCAGCCCTCAAGGGAAGGAATGATCATGTCTAGGATAAAGGCCAGATTTTTGATTTTTGAGTTCCAAAGCAGGCTCTTGAAATTCACTCTACAGATTACAGTCTAAAAACTAAAGGATATAGATGAACAAGTGCTGGAGTTTGTTGAGAGACAAAAGGATTCGTGAGTTTCAGCAAGAAAGCTCAGAGGCCTGAACACAGAAAGCATAAAATAAGCCAGAAAGCTGGGGGCACACAAAGTAAGATGCAAATGCAGTGATATGGTTTGGCTCTGTCCACACCCAAGTCTCATCTTGAATTTTAGCTCCCATAATTCCCACATGTTGTGGGAGGGACCCAGTGGGAGATAATTGAATCATGGGGGTGGGTCTTTCCTGTGCTATTCTCATGATAGTGAATAAGTCTCATGAGATCTGATGGTTTTATACAGGGGAGTTTCCCTGCACAAGCTCTCTTCTCCTGTCTGCTGCCATATGAGACATGCCTTTCAACTTCCATCATAATTGTGAGGCCTCCCCAGCCACGTGAAATTGTTAAGTCAATTAAACCTCTTTCTTTTGTAAATGGCCAACTCTCAGCTATGTCTTTATCAGCAGCATGAAAGAGAACTAATACACACAGCTATTTACTTGCGAAGAAAAAGGGAGTTCAACGGGCAAGGGGCTCAGAAGGCAATGAGGCCAGAACTGAGCTTGCTGGGGGGAGTCTGAGAAGAGCCCTTCCACCCACCATGATTTCTGCCTCCTCCCAGAGTGAAGACTCTAATGAGGAGGAGTCACGAAGAGAGGTTTGGGGAGCTCCATAAGGAAGCCTGCAAGCACTGCAAACCCCTTAAGATGGGACCAGAGCTCATGGCCCTGGGGTAGCTGAAACCACAGCTGGGGGAAGCAATTAGCCAGAGAGGCCACAGGGTCCTGCACATCCTAGGGAGGAGCAGGCCTCCAAAGTGGACCTTGTGCCTGGAAGGTCAGTGTGAAATTCAGGTGCCACGGCAGACACCACGGACTTCAGCAATGACTGTCAACCAAGAATTCTCAAAGACCATGAGGGGTGACTTCACTGAGGCAGAGGTAACTGCAAGAGCTGTAGGCAGCCCTTGTGCCAGGAACCCTGTCCTAAACTGCGTGTAAGTTCTCTCCCCTGCTTCCCCCAGAACGTAGAATGCTGAAAAGTTAAGGAGAACAGAAAGGACAGGAGGGAGTGCTGCATTTGGAAAAACCTGGACAAGCAGTACTCTAGTGATTGCTAGAAAGGATTGCTTCCATGTGGGTGTACTGTATTTTACACTTTCATATGCCACTAGAGTCCAGCAGAATTGTTTCCTTTACTTACTGAAGTATTACTCAATATAATCTGGCTATGGCCAAGCATGGCGGCTCATGCCTGTAATCCCAGCACTTTGGGAGGCCAAGACGGGCGAATCACTTGAGGTCAGGAGTTCAAGACCAGCTTGGCCAACATGGGGAAACCCCATCTCTACGAAAAATACAAAATTAGCTGGGTGTGGTGGTGTACTCCTGTAGTCCCAGCTACTCGGGAGGCTGATGCAGGAGATTTACTTGAACTCAGGAGGCAGAGGTTGCAGTGAGATGAGATGGTGCCACTGCACTCCAGCCTGGGCAACCGAGCTAGACTCTGACTCAAATAATAATAATATTAATAATTTGGCTCTTGCAAAAGATATAACATTTGAGAAACTCAAACTTGCTTTTATTACTTATTATTAAGTCTAATACATAAGAAATAAATGAGAGCATGTAGCAACGGCAACAAAGACTATTTAAAACCTTAAACATGTTTCTTTTAGGCTGATAACAGAACAGTTTCATTTGAAGCTTAAGATGTAAATGCTGCCATTTATACATATTGGTAGAAATCCTTTAGAAGGTGGCTTTAATTAGCTGCTCTTCTCTTCTTTTCTCCTCCTCCTCATTCTTAAATAGATGTCAATATAATTAACTTTATTAATGAAGCTGGTTAAAATGAGCTGAAGACATGGTATCAGATCGGCAAAGAACTGCACAATTAAGCATTTGAACATGAGTAAACACATGCATATATGCTGTTGGGCTAGGAATTGATTTCAGGATACACGGGCTGTCGCCCAATCAAAAGTGCCGTGGGAGTGTGCCTTATGCTGATATGTACAAATATAACAGAATGACCCTTTTCAGCCCAAATGTTGAGACAGTGCTTGGGATGACTGAGTGGGATGTTGGCTGAGACATTCTCCATGGGCAGGTGTTACTAAGCATGCATGGTCTTATGTAAGTAGAATAAAAGAATGGCTAACGATCATCATTAATGCTTATTGGAGAACTTGTTATGTGCCACGCACTATTCTAAGCCCTTTATATGTCTTAACTCATTTGATAACTCAAAATATCCCTAAATGGAGTGAGTTACTGTTATTTCTCATGCCTTAAAGATAAGAACATTGAGCCATGGTTAGTACCTCGTCCACGGTCAGAAGCTTATCTGTGGTGCAGCGCGGTTCTGAACTCAACCTCTGGCTCCAGATCCCACACTCTTAAGTACTGCATTTTAAGTTCCCTTCAGGGTTGGTGCACATGGGGAAGTCAGTGAAAAAGTCTTGAGATGGTTAAAGAAAAGCAAATAAGCCGTCTTTGGGCTGTTGAGTGAAATCTCAGGATTAACTGCTTGATGAAAAGATCCTCGTGTGATGTGTGTTCAGGGTCTCAGAGTGGCTTCCATCTGTACAACAGGAAGGCTCCAATGAAGCTCATTCTCCCAAATTTATTGTTTTTAGTCCAAAGATAAGCTTCTGTTAACTTTGTGTGCAATGCAATTTATTTTTGGCCCTCTTTTGAAATATTGTGCTCAGCTCAAGTCAACAAGCTCTTGCCCCAGGTGTTAGAAACATGGGCCACATCCTAGCAGGAAGCTGGGAGCATGAATCAGCCACAAAGAAGGGCTTCACAAAGGAACCTTAAAAGGAGGCCAAACTCAAATTTCTGGAAATGTGTTAAAGGTTCCACATGTATTCTGAGATCTATAAATGTCTCATCTTCTATCTTTGAAAGCCCTTACTGCTAGTCCAAATGTAAATCCTCATTAGGTTATAAACCCTGAAAGGATTTTGTCATCAAAGATAGTGCTAAAATTAGATGCTTCCTGGCTGAGCCCATTCTGCTTGCTTGAAGAAGCCAAATTACTTCCCCCTCTGTGAATTCAAAGCCCTGACGGATTCGCCTCTCCCTCCAGGCTGTCAATCCAGTTGAAAAAGTCATTTGCTGAGTACCTGGGTATCAGTGTCCTCTCAGGTCGTCCTCTGCAGGGGGGCTCACAAGGGAAGATTTGAACCCAGAGCAAGCCTGTTCTGACTGCTGTGGGATGCAGAGGCAGTGGCTATCATGCTGCTTCCCACTTCCTTCCCCTTGGCTCCTGGGCAGCTGCAGAGCAGACTCAGGCTGGCTCACGTCTCCTTGAAAGCATAGCAGAGACTTTTGCATTTCAGGAAGATTTGATCTTATACTTTCTCCTTTACTTTTTGCCAAGATTTACTTGCACTATGCATTGAGAAGCTCAGATAGTATTCAGTAAGCGTCGCCCTAGATAAATCTTTTTTTTTTTTTTTTTTTTTGGGACAGAGTTTCACTCTTGTTGTCCACGCTGGAGTGCAGTGGTGCAATCTTGGCTCACTGCAACCTCCGCCTCCCAGGTTCAAGCAAGTCTCCTGCCTCAGCCTTCCGAGTAGTTGGGACTACAAGTGCCCACCACCATGCCCGGCCAATTTTTGTATTTTTAGTAGAGACGGGGTTTTCCCATGTTGGCCAGGCTGGTCTCAAACTCCTGACCTCAAGTGATTAATGTGCCTTGGCCTCCCAAAGTGCTAAGATTACAGGCGTGAGCCACCACACCTGGCCCCTAGAGAAACTTCACGGGGGAGAATAAGGAAGGAGATACTCACATTTACAATGTCATCTACTCTTATTCATTCATCTACTTATTTATTTATCATCAAATATTTATTGAACATTGAATGTATACTAGGCACTAGGATAGGTACAGGGATAGAATAAAAGATAAGAACTTGCATTAGGTAGAGCTCCCCAGAAATAGAACTCGAGATGTGAATTTATATGCAGTGATTTATTAAAGTGTTATCAAGATAAATCAGAAAAAGGGTAGAGGAGGAAAGGTTGGAAAAATTCAGACTGTGCTCCATCTTGAGGCCAGGAAGCTGGGTTTCCATACACCTGCAATTGTCAGTCAGTCCGAGTGCTATGGCAATGCCATCTATTGCAATACAGACTCAGGAAGAGGGGATCCAGGAGCAGTGGGGTCACATGTAGTTATGAGTGTTGATTAGATTGAGTTTGAGCTTTACATGGGATGGGCAAGCAGAGGTGTCTGGAGGCTATTGAATGTGGACTGGAAGCTCAGAAAAGTTCAGGCTGAAGATTTAAATTTAGGAATCACCAGAATATAGACGGTAACTAAAGCTGTGATTGAAGATGAAATGCTAACATTGCCCAGGGTGAGTAATGCACAGGACTGAGGTTGCAACTCTGGGAACATACACCTTTGAAGGTAATTTGGAGAAAGAGGACCTTGCTGGTGCCGGGAGCGATGGCTCATGCCTGTAATCCCAGCACTTTGGGAGGCCGAGGCGGGCGGATCACGAGGTCAGGAGATCAAGACCATCCTGGCTAACACAGTGAAACCCCGTCTCTACTAAAAATACAAAAAATTAGCCGAGTGTGGTGGCGGGCGCCTGTAGTCCCAGCTACTTGGTGGGCTGAGGCAGAAGAATGGCATGAACCCGGGAGGCGGAGTCTGCAGTAAGCCGAGATCACGCCACCACACTCCAGCCTGGGCGACAGAGTGAGACTCTGTCAAAAAAAAAAAAAAAAAAAAAAAAAACAAAGAACAAGAAAGAAAGAGGACCTTGCTAATGGCTCACGCCTGTAATCCCAACACTTTGGGAGGCCGAGGTGGGTGGATCACGAGGTCAAGAGATCAGGACCATCCTGGCTAACATGGTGAAACCCCATCTCTACTAAAAATCCAAAAATTAGCTGGGTGTGGTGGTGTGCACCTGCAATCTCAACTACTCGGGAGGCTGAGGCAGGAGAATCGCTTGAACCCAGGAGGCAGAGGTTGCAGTGAGCCAAGATTGCGCCATTCATTGCATTCCAGCCTGAGTGACAAGAGTGAGACTCCATCTCAAAAAAAAAAAACAAAAAAAACAAAAAAAAGGAAGAGAGATCTGAGGTGATGCTCTGTTCTATCTCAAGACCCTTCAGAGAGTCCCCACCAGCAACACAGCTCTCACTGAATATAGCCCCTTGATCTTGGACTTCTCAGACTCTATAACTTGGAGAAATAAATTCCTTTTCTTCATAAACCAGTTTCAGGTATTCTGTTATGAGCAACAGAAAATGGACTAAGACCGAAGGGGAGATGTAGGACAGTGTCTCCAGTGAGTTCAGGGAAAGTGGGTGGCGTTTTTATTGATGGGGGAGACTTGAATGTCTTCACACGTGGGTATGAGATAAGATCCAGGTGTAGAAGGGAGGGTGAGAGTTTGTAAAGTTGGGAGCAGCTGGGATCCAGAGTGTGGATGGAGGGAGGAGTTATGGATGGGAAGAGGCAGGGTCAGGAAGGAGGTGGCTGTGAGGAGTTTGGTGGTGGGAGCAGAACAGGAAAGATACACCATGGCCTTTGATGTCAGGGGTGTCTGTCTGCTGAGAGTGAGGGAAGGAGACGGGATGGGCATTTGGGAAGGTCCCTAAGGGTTTGCCTGGGTTGGCATCAGATGTGCTGGCTCCCCAGGAGCCTCAGCTGGCTCAGCTCTGGTCACCTGGTTCACATTTCCAAGGATGAGAAATGTGAGGTGCCTGCTGCCCGGTGTACTAAGGCAGGAGCAGGGCCTGGGGAGAGGGAGGGCCTGGGGAGAGGGAGGGACTGGGCACACGCCCCCTACGGAGAGACCCTCAGACTTTTTACCAATGATGGCAACAACAGAAAGCAGTTTTCTGCTGACTCTCACGCAGGGGCCACCAGCATGAATTTAGAAATCTACTCAAGAGGATGTTCAGGTAGAGCTTTGCCTAAAGAGAGGTTTTTATTTAGAAGGACCTGAGGGAAGGTCCATCTTTTCAACAGCAGCATGTGAGAATTTGTGCAACACACATGTAGTATCGGAAACCTACAAATAATCAGGTTGGTCTTTTAAACTTCCTTTTCCCTCTAGGATAAAATGCAAACACAACAATAATTAGGTGAGTTTAGGAGTTTATTAAAAGGATAAAAGTCTGCCTTACACACTGAGCTCACAGACATGGAGAACCTCCCTTTTTATGTTCCACGACACATCTATGCACACTGACTTTCATGTCACATCCTTCTTAAACAGTCACCAATTCACCACTTTGGGCTGATGCCTGTGCAGGGTGCTAGGGGTACAAAAAATAAATGGAGGGCAGCCTCAACTTACCCCCCACCACACACTTTTAAGGAGCTCAAATATCTGCCCAGTGAGGTTGGTACTGAGAAAGGTCATCTCCTTGTTGGGCAAGCAGGGCCTTAGCGTCCTCCTGGTCCACTCAGGTCTGTTTACTGATGTCCAACCAGATGGCCTTTTGTGAGACCTCCTGGCTTGTTACCGAGGAGCTGGTGCTTGGACTAAGCCTCTCAGTGCAGTGTTCTTCCTATTAGGCCACGTCCCTTGCTCGCCCCAAATTTTCCTGTGATCCTAGGTCATTGAATAAGCCCAATTTTTACATGCTGCGGAATGGACACGCAAACACATCTAAGAATGGACCTTGACCAAGACGGACATCAGAAGCTTTTCCAGTTACTTCCATAGCAACAAGAATGTCCCCTTCCCAGGTGCTCTGTAACTCCTTTTGGAAGCGTCTTCATTATTCTTGGCTCCATGCAAAGAACTCCCAGTCCTCTTCCTGGAAACGTCAGCACCTTGGTGTTGAGGGTAAACTTTTGCTACAGAAAACGTCAGCACCTTGGTGTTGAGGGTTAACTTTTGCTACAGAAGTGGACAGAATGCCATCTGCTAACTCGAAGATGATGAGAGACCTTTCAAAGAGTATCAACTGGAGAAGAGAAGTAGAAGTTTCAATGAGGAATGTTCTGTCATCACATGACTAAACAGAGGAACAGACACAGGATTGGGTTGATACTAGATGGAGGTAAAATCAGTTCTAGTGGCTGTATCTTTCTCTGGCTGTTGCTTCACTTGGCGTGTGCAAAGTGTATCTCTTAGAACTGTCATCAGTCACCTTGCTGGGCTGTGACGGAACCACCTTTCACCCTGGATGGGGAAACAGATGTTGAGGGTTGTTGGCGTGCTGCAGGCGTGTAGTGGATTTGTGTTCTACCAAGTGTGAGCAGTGGTTGCATGGACGACTGTGCTTCCACTCAGGGTGAGGGGCCTGGTTTTCCATACCTGGGGGTTGAACCAGGATACCACACCATCAGTTTGCTATCTAGGAAGTTGCACCTTTATAAGACACTTATACTTTCGGCTCCGGAAACAGAAGCATCTTTTTAATACACTGCTAAAACATTTCTTCACAGAGTAGCAAGGGGACGTCCCCTCTATTTAGTGAGGTGGTCACCCTTAGGGGAACCTCAGAGAATGAAAGATTGAGGGAAACATTGAATTAATTAATTGCTTGAGAATAAAACCCTTGCAGGCACACACAGCATGATAGGGAATGGCACCTCTCCTTTGGCTGTGATGCCCTCTGATGTCCAGTGGGCTTGGTGACCCACCTAGGTTGCGGTCTGGTCCAGGACTGCCATCCCCAAGGATCTTGGAGCAAGGACCCTTGCCCCTGGTGCCACCACACACATGAATGTATGTGGCAGGTATTTTCTTCTCCATGGAAAGATGACCTCCTAGAGGCAGAGTCCAGCACTCTCTGGGTGATCCAGTGCTGAAGATGATAAACATTATCTTTTCTTCTTAGAGTGGGGTTGAAGTTTCTGGGACACAAAGGGCTTTCTGGCTTTGTCAAGCTGGTCTTGAGAGATGAAACAGGCACCCCGCGCCATGTGCTAACAGTCACTTTTACCAAGTTTTCCATTTTTCTTCCTTTTTGATGGTGAGAGATTGAGAAGAGAGAGAAAGAAAAAAAATACCGTTCCCACCAAATTGCAAAAAGTTTGTGAGTCTAAGCTGTGACTTGTCCCTCTGGGGAGTCAGGGAGGGAGCTGGTGCTGCCCATGTCTGGTTTGTGCTTGTTGAGGATGGTAGAAAGCCTGGGATTTATACTTTTCTTGTGAGTTACCAAGCTGGCTTGTCTCAGTTTCATAGATGCTGGCAGAAGGCAGCATCAGAGATTGAGAATATCATTACTCAAGTTATAGCAATGAGCGTGAGAGCCATATTCTCACCAGCTACCCATCCCTGCAGGGCCCTTGGGGTGAGGCAGAGCAGTCCAGTGGATGCTGTGTACGCAGTGGGTTTGTGTCATAGCTGAGGAGCTCTAAGCTTAGGAAACCCTAAACTTTTTTTTTTCCAGTCGACAAATACTTGTAAGATGGCTATTGTGTGCCAGGGACTTTTCTAGGAACTATGGGCACAAGTAAACAAAACAAAGAATTATGTTCTTGTGAAGCTGACATCCTTGAGAGGAAAGACAGACAACAAAGAATAACCATTATGAATAAATAAATTCTAGAGTGAGTTAGATGATAAGGGTATGGACAAGAGCTAAAGCAGATGTGGGGGGCAGGAATCCTGGGGGAGTTGTGGCATTGAATAGGGTGCTCATGGAGGCCCTCATTGAAAAGATGAGCTTGGACCAAAGATGAAGGAGCTGAGGGAGGCTGCCCCAGACCACCCAGATTCTAGGCAGAGACCAGAGAGGCTGTGACTCCTGATTGGCTGTGTCTAATGCCTAAGAAACTCTGGAAGGGGGTTGCTGGTACACCTGCCCAAATTTTGCCTCAGATGGAGATGCTGTTTTTATTATCTAGGTCAGCCAACAAATCTGCCTTCTGCCCAGCAAGGAGACACTATCTCTATCTTCCAAGGCTATCTGCTATGCAAGCATCCTTGAAAAAACAGCACAGAACAGAAACCATCAAAGCCTCTGCTCAAGAGACAGGCACAAATGCAATGACCCATGGGGGATGGTCTCCCCACAGGTACACTGACTCCCTTGATGGCACTCAGGTGACCCAAGTTAGCATCAGGCCTATCCAGTCTTCAGTCCCTGCTTGCCAGGGGGTGAGGAGATCAGCGAGGATCCTGTCCGCAGTTGCCATCTGACCCTGCTGTAGCTCTGGCTTGTCACTGCCACATATTCTTCAGGCTACTCAGTGACCCTGCCATCACAAGTCTCCTCCTCAAGCAAACAAACATCCCACAGCAAACAGACACAGCTTTTATGCAGGCCTGAAGATTCCTTCCTGGCTTAAACTCTTGTTAGGGATTACAACAGCTTGGTTTCCAAGACCTGCAGAAAATCTTTCTTTCACTGCAGCCACACTCTGCTGCCTCTCATGGACCACTTTGGAATAATGGGTGGAGAAGCAACATGGGCCTCGGGTGCCCTGGATATTAAACTGAGGATATTTAGTCTTTCCAGGTGCTCCTCAGAGAGCTGAGATACTCTCTACCACGTTCTTTAGAAAGTTAAAAGAGGACTTTTATGGACAAACTGTTAGTTTCCTTTGAACCTTTGGTGGGTAAGTGGTCTATAACACACTAGTCCTTTGGTTCCCAGTCTTATCCCAGTTTCAGAAGGCTGTGTGTCATTGCTGGAAATTGATTCATAGAGTTTCAGAGCTTCTCTAGAAGGCCTCAGCCATGTCCTTAAAAGTTGCATAAAACTTTTGGCATATGAGTGATTCAGGGATCCTGACACCAGACCAGAGGGACCTCTACTGAGTGGTGATCTCCTGCTTGCGTAAAGAGCAATTTAAGCAACAGTGTGTTTTCTGTGTTGTAAGATAGTATCAAGGGTCTCTGCAGCAAGGGCCCAAAGATGATGGGTGGAATAAAAGCTTATCCGGTGTAGCTGGTAACCAGCTTCATGTCATGGCACTGGTCCATCTTTTCCCATCTCAACTGTTCCACCTTCTTCTCTTCAAGGGTAGACATGGTGGACGTGGATGCAGGATAGCAGGCATCAGGCAGATGTGAATGGCATGGAAAACCAGGCTCCTGGAGACATTGTGAGTGCTGAGTCCTGCGAGGCTTATTGGCTGGGTATTAAGAGAAGGCCTTGCTTAGTCCAGGAGGGTGGGCATTTTCCAGGCTGCCAGCCAGATGGATGCTGAGGAGGAAACCCAGTCCACTGATTCAACAGCTATTGTCCATGTACCCTATAGATATTGACCAGAGGATAGAGAATTTATTTGAGTTTCACCATTCCAACATAGAATAATCTGTGTGCAGATTTGGGCTAATACGGTGACTTCCACAAAACAAATCAGACAGGTAGAGGTCTAGAGGAAGATTAATTATTATTACTGTCAATAACAGTCGTTTTAGTATACACTACCCTTTAATCTGCAGCCCCTTGAAGACAGCAATAATAGACCCCTATCTGAACTGGAAGGAGGTGATCTTTTGAGACAATTGTTTGTGTGTTAAACTGATTTTAATGAGTATTTTTAAGGCAGGAGTCTTGAAAGCAATCCATTCTAGAGGCAGACATAATGTAGAATTTTTTTATTTTTGTACAGGTTGAGAGAAAAATGTTAAAAAGGTAAACTTCTATGTTTGGGGGATATAGAAGTTTTAGGTTGATGAAAGATAGACTTTTAATTTTTTCCCCCAGAAAGTAACATTTCTTTTGCATAAAAAAAAAACAGTCTGAGAGTATGCAAACAGTACACGTCAACACGGATTACATTCTGAAACCATGGATGCACACCTCACATTCCTGGAGTCATCTAACACTAGCATCAGCAGGTGGTCTTGACATGGTCCTGGACCCATTCTGTGTCACTGAATCTAAGCAGACAAATGGGCCTGCCTGGAAAATAAATAGAAGGAAGAAAGGATGGGAAAGAAGGAGGGAGGGAGGGAAGGAAAGACATTTCTGAATATGTTCCCAAGATGGTAATAACTGGCACCAGTCTATGTTGGTGGCCTTAATGGAAGCCTGTAGAGAATCTTCAGCCTGGGAGACTGAGCAGCTGTGGATATTTGATCATGTTTTCTGGTTAATGCCAAATCTCTGACACAAAGACCTGTTTATCTTTCCATTTTATGGAAGTGAGCCTGGAATGGAGTGTTGCAGCCAGGGGAGGATTACATCCTCTTTCATAAAGCAAACCCTGTGAGGGTTGTGGGATAAAGAATGCAGTTCCGACTATTTATGAGTAAATTCTCTCTTAGGATGAGCCACATGGGAGATAAAGTGAGGGAAAGGAAAGTAAAAACTTAGATTTTAGAGGAACATCACTTTCCTCTGGTTACAGAGGATTCAGGCAATGTTTATTAAGATGGTCTATCACAAATTTGCATACCAGGCATAGTGGAGATAGGAAAAGTCATGGAGGGTAAGATGCACGATCTTGCCCCTTGTCACGCAAGCTGGGGCTACATTTCAGACTCCAGAGCACGGGTCTGGCAAATGTTTCCTGTAATGGGCCAGGTAATAAATATTTTAGGCTTCATGGGCTATACCATCTCTGCTGCAACTATTCAGCTCTACCATTGTGCCATGAAAGCAGCCATAGACAATAGCAAATAGTGCATGTGGCCTTGTTTCAATAAAACTTTATTTAAAAAACAGCAGGAGGCTGGATTTGGCCCATAGGCCACAGTCAGTTGAACTCTGGCCATGGGCAGGCAAGGGGCAGAGCTTTGCGACGGGCTTCGAATACTTGGGCTGGCCTCTGGTTGCGGTGGAGACCAGCCTGCATTTTGTCCTCTCCAGCTTGAGAGCAGGAGCTGCACCTTCTTTGTGCTTCCTGGAGATTCCTGAGGAGTTCAGGGTGTTAGTATCGACTCTGGTTTATTGAATTGGGCTCTGGGTTCAGGCCTGGTGTTTCCAAACAGAAGTGTCAATGGGAAGGAGGACCAGGCCACTGGCAGAAGACGAGAGAAGCAGACATGGAAATAAAGGCAGACAACCTTTTCTTTTTTATTTCGCTTAGACAAAATGCAAAGAGTGTCTCATTAAATTAAAAAAGAAACAAGAGAGAAAACCAAATTGATTCCCCCCACCCCTTCACTGACGGCACTCATCCTAATTAACAACAAAAGAAGACCAAATTGAGAACCCGGTTTCTAATGGGAAAGAAAGGTGTGCAAACGTGACTGAAGTTTTCCCCTGCCCGCAAATCGGTGTTCCTTTTAAATTCACAAATAGGCTGATTTCCCACCCACCCTGTTTTCTTTCTTGCCTCTTGTGTGATAGAACTTCCAGTCAGAAGGTTTAATTAATCCCCCCCATGCACTTTTGTAGAAAATCAGTAAAAATGCAATAGCCTGTGAAGATCATAAAACTGGACTTCTTTCCCAAAAAATCAGATGCCCAGGCGGATGGAGCTCACACTCAGACAGAAAAAAAGCAGGAGAGTCTTTGCACTGTCTGTGGTTTCAGTATTTTCTCTTTTTTTTTTTTAATATATTTTGGCAATTTTCTTTAATTATAAATATTGGAATTCCGTAAAAAAAAGGTAGCTTTGATTGAATTGTTTGAATTGTATTTACAACCGCTGTCCAGTCATGCTGTCTGTTATACCAGGGTGTAAGATTTTGCGTAAGGATTGTTTCCTTTCAAATGGCCCCGGGAGTCGAGCAGTGATTCTTGGGAGCTGCTCATTTTAGCTGCCTGTCCCAGCTCTGCTCCCTCCCGCTGAGGTAATGTGGCCACGGCCCCCGGCTGCCACGACTGTCCTTCTCTCGTGGAGGAGGCGGAGGAGGCGGCTTCCATCGGGATGGGCTCCAGGACCGTGGGGCGCTTCAGGGTCCGGCTTTTCTGAGGTTCCAAGCATGCTTGTCCTAAGCTCAGGTCCCTGCTGGTGCCTGGACCACCTCGGTTTAACAAAAAGTCCATTCTAAGGTATGGAGGCAAATGTATGAGGTCACCTAGAAGGAAAGACAGGGTAGTTAGTTGGTGTCTTCATTTGGTAAACATGGGCAGAATGTCCTGTGTGCACACGGGAAGCCATGCGGGCTTTAGAGATGAGAATGCCGCTGCACACAGGTGCCTTTCTCAAGATCCTCCTTCAGCGCTCACCACAAAGACAGGTGGAATCGTCCTCCTACCTCCTCCCTGGGCGCGGGAGGAGCTCATTTTCCTACAGTACTTACTTACTTGTATTAACTTACTTGTACAGAAATGGAGGAATGGAGGTAACAGAATCCTTCAACACACCATCGTTGAAAGAAAAACATACATCAAAGGCATCAGTGTCCACTGGGTACGAACGGTGATAGACCAAACCCCGCATGTGATTGGAAGTACAGGGAGAGCACAGGGTTTGAGGAGAGAGCCAGGGACGCCAAGCGAAGATGGACAGCTGGCTCTCGTCTTGGCAATTCTATGAAACCTTGTGAGCTTGGCCAGCCACTTAGTTATGGGTCTTCATGATGGCTTTGGGTGAAAGCGCCACAGCTTATGGCCTTCTTACCAGGCCCTGCCTACCTGCTAACTTCTGCGTGGCTCTTCTGTTTCAGCCATGCTGTGTATAGAGATGACAGCAGCTTAGACCAGAATTCTAGTGTTTCTACTTCCTGCTTATGGTCACTCTGGCTTCTGTGGTGCCACGCAAACGTAACCTCAGGTCTCCTTCAAGAGCATCTGCTGGCTGGGCACGGTGTGCCTCATGCCTGTAATCCTAGAACTTCGGGAGGCCGAGGTGGAAGGATCACCTGAGGTCAGGAGTTCAAGACCAGCCAGGCCAACATGGCGAAACCCCCTCTCTACTAAAAATACAAAAACTAGCCAGGCATGATGGTGGGCGCCTGTAGTCCCAGTACTGGGGACACTGAGGCAGGAGAATCGCTTGAACCCGGGAGGAGGAGGTTGCAGTGAGCTGAGATTATGCCACTGCACTCCAGCCTGGGTGACAGAGCAAGACTCAAACAAAACAAAACAAAACAAAACAAACAAAAAACCCAAACCAAAACAAAAAAACCAAGAGCATCTGCTGCAGGAAGGGAGGCATGTGTTCTCTGGGATGCTGCAAGCCAATGACAAGCGTGACAGGGCTTTTCTCATGGCCGTCCCCGCCTGATGCAGGATCTCCCTAACAGGCATCCTTTGCTCAGGGATACCCCATCAGCCTCACTGCAGCCTTCTCAGAAGTGCACCGCAGCCTGACGTGCCTCCAACCAATCCCTCCTTCGCCTTCTCCTCTCACAGGTGTCGGACCTCTGTTACGGTCTCCAGACTCTCCTTGCCACCTCCTGCTTCCTTTTGCTTCCTTCTTCACAAGAATTTCCCCAATAAATTCCTTGTGTGTCTAATCTGTCTTGCTAGGCGCTTCTCAAAAACCTGAACTGACACAGCTTCTTTCACCATCAGCTACTGAAAGGTCACCCTGACCTCTCATTGCCAAATTCTCTGGTTTCCTCTTCGTCCTCTTCCTACCTGCATTACTATAGCATTTGATGCCGTTGATATTTTTGTTGTTGGCCCTTTCAGCTGCCAGGGCACTGTGGTCTTCCAGATCTCTGCCTACATCTCTGGCCACCCCTTCTCACTTTCCTTGACTGGATCCTTTTCTCTGTCTTTCCTCTAAATACGGAGTGTTCAGTGGCCTGCTCTCAGGCCTCTCTCGGAAGGCTTGGCTGCTTTCCTCATTGCTTTATAAATAACATTCCCATCTATCTTTTCCATTTTGCTCTTTCTCCTGAGCCCTAGATGTGAATTTTAGGTGCTTTGCTAGGCATTTCCACACGAGTGTCCATCTGGAATTCTGAAGGCCACAGTCTACCAATTCAGTTAATGAAGGCCAACCCCATCCCCTCCCAATCCCAAATACTGCTTCTCTCCTGTGTGCTCCATCTTGTGTAACATTATCACCATCCTTCCATCCTTGAAACCTCAGAGGTTTCACTGACACCTTTCTCTCCAGGTTAATTCTACTGGCAAAATATCTCTTGACTCTTTTTTTTTTTTTTTCTTTTTTAAACAAGAAGAGATAGAGTCTTGCTCTGTTGCCCAGGCTAGAGTGCAATGGTGCATTCATGGCTCACTGTAGCCTCAAACTCCTGGGCTCAAGCAAACCTTCCACCTCAGCCTCCAGAGTAGCTAGGGCTACAGTTACATACCACCATGCCTGGCTAATTATTATTCTTAAAATATTCTGGAGACACAGGGTCTTGCTTGGTTTCCCAGGCTGGTCTCAAACTCTTGAACTCAAGTGATGCTCCTGCCTCAGCTTCTCAAAGCACTGGGATTACAGGCATGAGCCACCTGGCCTTGACTCCTTCTCATTCCCATCTTCAGGGCCCTGTTTCAAGGCTTTAATATATCCCATCACCTCCTTGCAAAGCATGAGCACAATTAGGGCCCAGCCACCAGGTCCACTTTGCAACCAACACTGCCTGACTTGAGCTGGACTGACGCTGGGTCTGAGTTTCTGCTGTTTTGGTACAGACAGTGTGCATTATCCAGCCCAGTGCTTCCCACTTTTTGAGGAACAGGCAGACAAGGGGTATTTGTGCAGTACACTGGGATGAACCCAGGGAGCTGTTTCTGGCCACCTTGAGGTCTGAAGGACTCACCATCTTGGCACACCTGTAACTCGTGACATACCAGGTGCAAAACTCTGTCTAGAGAATGGGCTGGTGGTGTGTGGTCCTGGAGCGAGGGCCCAGGGTAAAGGATGTGCAGGGAGAGAGATATGATGATGGTCTGAGCTCAGGAGCAGCTGTGGGATGTGAGAGAGGGAATTAAATTGTGAGATATGAAGGGGGTCCAAGGAAGGTGGCTTCAGAGTCAATGACAAGTGGGAGTGGTGACAGAGGAGAAGGGGTTAGGGGTGACTCCTTCCCAGGCTCTAAGCTCAGGAAACTGTGTGGACAGTGAAATCACTAACTGTGAAAGGGTGTATAGGGGAAAGATCGTACTTTGATGACAAAAGATGAAGGGTTTAGTTTCAGACCTGCTGAGTTTGATGCTGCTGGGGACATTCAAGACAAGATATCTAGTAGGTATTTTTATCATAGAAACGTAGCTCTAGGATGACTCACTGCTCGTTTTCTGAGTCTAAAGTAACTGAACATTCTTGTTTCTTTTGCTTCAAAATATCCCCTGCTTTCCTTATGTTACTGTATGCTAACAATAATTAATTGAGCCTTCCTCATCCAGCCCCTTTGGACCCATAGGCCCCGAAGGTGCAGGCTGAGGGGATCTGAGACCACCTGAGCCAAGTGAGGGCTGCCATTAGCCAGCTGCTCTGCTAGCGGGGCAATGAAAGTGATATGTGTTTAGACAGTGTTTAAAGCCTGAACCTTAGGAAACACCTTCAAGTTTACCCACAGAAAAAGAACAACCAGCATAACAGAAGGAAAGGACTATTCAAGAGTATAAGAGAACTGGCCTGTAATCCCCGCCCACTTTGGGAGGCCTAGGCAATGGATCACCTGAGGTCAGGTGTTCGAGACCAGCCAGGCCAAAATGGGGAAACCCCGTCTCTACTGAAAATAGAAAAATCAGCTGGACGTGGTGGTACACGCCTGTAATCCCAGCTACTCAGGAGGCTGAGGCAGGAGAATCTTTTGAACCTGCGCATTGGAGGTTGCTGCACGATTGCACTCTATCCTGGGCAACAAGGATGAAACTCCATCTCAAAAAAAAAAAAGTATAAGAGAACTAAAAATAAATATGGCCAAATCAAGCCCTAGAAATGCATTTTATACAATTTAAATGAGCATACAAATTTTCAAAATGTTATTACCCGTCTTGAAAATTTTTTTCCGCGAACAACAGGAGCAATGACCTTATTTTTGGGAAATGCAGCAAATGATTTCTTTGTCATTGTGTTATTACATTGTTGCACCACTTGGGATTTATGATTCAAAACTCCATTTAGCTTTTTCAGGATATCTTTATTCTACTAAGTGATGATGAGTAGTTATATGATTTCACTGGGAATGGCAGCATGTAATTCACTAAATGACCCCAGCGACACTGGACTGGGCTCACTGAAATTAAAGGCATTCTAATTCAACGTTGGCTTCCTACTGTCAACTGGATCCAAGGGAAGCTCAGTAATAAATACCTAGACAATAAATGGGCCATAACATTTTTTTTTTTTTTGAGATGGAGTTTTGCTCTTGTCGCCCAGGCTGGAGTGCAACTCGGTTCGCCACAACCTCCACCTCCCGGTTCAAGCGATTCTCCCCCCTCAGCCTCCTGAGTAGCTGGGATTACAGGCATGCACCACCACGCCTGGCTAATTTTTGTATTTTTAGTAGAGACAGGGTTTCTCCATGTTGGTCAGGCTGGTCTCATATTCCTGACCTCGGGTGATCCACCCGCCTCAGCCTCCCAAAGTGTTGGGATTACAGGCGTGAGCCACCGCACCTGGCCCATAACATTCTTATAGGAAGGAATTACATAATTTGGCATTCTTGTAAAAAGGGTTTTGGTAACTTGATGCATCTGAACTTTGGCTTAGAAAAATATAATGGCATGAGGCCTACCCATTATAGACACTAATGTGGAGGGTTCAGGAATCTCTTGCCATATAGAATAGCTTTGTTCCTGAAAGATGAAATAATTTGAATTTTTAAAACTTTATGAAACTTGATGGCATTGAAAATTACTAATGTTCGTTTATGGTAGTTATTCTTCAGTCTTCTCTAACCAGGGATTATTTGCAAAAAAAGTGATGAAAGCATTAACAGAGCTGTCATTAAGAAAAAATTGAATAATTCTTTTGTAATGTGAACATCCTTTTGTATGTGAATCAATACACCTTAATTGACCAGTGTTGCGATTTGTAGTTTTATACATTCAATCTCCTGAAAGTGATTATGTCTTTATTCCTAAGAATCTGATAAACAAATTGTTAATTTTATTATTTATTTATTTTAAATTTTAAATTATTTTTATTCAATATTATTTTTATCATGTTGTTTGTATATTTGAGGAAATGGGACAGACATTTACCTCCAGGGTTCTTTAAATATATAGGTCAAGAATGCCTCATGCTCTTTCTGAGACCCGACTCAATCACGAACGCTTGACATATTTGTAATGTGTTGCAACAGATTTGGGGATAAATCTCTATTTTAGTGACTCCCCATTGAATGCACAGGGCTTATTAAACCTCCACAAAGTAATAGCATTGTGGTCCCGGCTGGACTGCAGAATGCGCAGGTCTTAGATTGGAAGGAAGAAACGTGTTTGAAATCAAAAGATAGGACTCATAATATCTGCATCCTGCCTGCAGGGGCTCCCACTTCAGATGTAGTTATCAAGAGGGCTCCAGTCACTGAAATGGACAGATGAGAAATAAAAATCCTTCCTAATGGAAACAGCTCAGTGTTACATCTTTACATGCAATGCCTACATGTATTTGTTTATTGCAGGTCTGACAAGTATCTCTGAATATCCAATATCTCTGATTGATCCAGTTTTTCAGGCAAAGCTCTACAAAGTTGTGTGATTCTTTAATTAGCTCCCTTCAACAATGTGTATTTTCTGATTAGCGTCCAAAGTAGCCCTTTCAACTGTGTGCGTGCTGCAAATGAGTTCTCTCAATAATTAATGCACTTACAGAGAAGAGAGCACCAGAGTAGTCAGCGGTAAGCTCTGTTATTACAGGCACTTATGTTCTTTAAAACCCCAGCCCATGTGCTCATCAACAAAGCCTCTGAGGACCTGGATTCTCTAATTGTCCTCCTATATGCTTAAGATGCCTACACATAGCAAGACAACTCATGCAGTTATTGATCCAGAAAGAGACACATGATGTGTGAGACTGTGGTGACCATGGGGACATTGGCACAGCATTCCCCAGTGCCCTGCCTGCCATCTGCCTGTGTCACATGGGAGAAACCAGCCCTTGGCTTTAATTGTGGTGATGAGGAATAGAGGCCAGGATAACATTGCCTGCATTTATCTGACAGGTCTAGATCTGGGCTCAGTTTCCTTATCCATAAAATGGGAGTAATAGCAGAATCTAGCATAGAGGGCTGTGGTGAAGAGTAACTTAGATAATGCATGTGAAAGCTTTCCCTGGATTAAGGAATCTGTTTCCACAGGGAGCAGGGCCTTCTTGGGTGTGTCTGGTACTCCCCAGCTCACCTGCCCCACAGCTTACCATTCAGGACCCTCTCCAGTTCTCCCATGCAGTGAAAAGTAGCAGGGATCCAGAAGAAGTCCAAGGATCCTTTGTGCTTTGAACTCCAGGGTCACCATATTGGGTCACCATGTCATGGGTACTCACCTCCACTGGGTGCAAATGCCCTCAGCATCCCTGTGTGTAAATCTATCATTGCCATAAACACTGGCAAAGGCAAATGCCCAGTCTTAGTACTTGTTTCAGTAAAACCAGCTATGACAAAATTCACTTATATTTTTGGCAATGATTTCCATACTCTATGGTGTCACTTCACTTCCTCTGCTTTGCTTCCCTCAACCTTTCTCCACATTTCCCCCCTTCCCCTTCTCCCTCCTTCTTTCCCTTCCTCCTGTCTCTTTATCTCTTTCTCTCATTCCCTCCATTCTTTCCTTTATTTTCCTTCTAATATAGTTTGGCTGTGTCCCCACCCAAATCTCTTCTTGAATTGTAGCTCCCATAATTCCCATGTGTTGTAGGAGGGACCCAGTGGGAAGTAATTGAATCATGGCAGTGGTTTCCCCCATACTGTTCTCATGGTAGTGGATGAGTCTCACAAGGTCTGATGGCTTTATAAGGGGTTGCCCCATTCACTTGGCTCTCATTTTTCTCTTGCCTGCCACCATATAAGATGTGCCTGTCACCTTCCGCCATGATTGTGAGGCTTCCCCAGCCACATGGAACTGTGAGTCCATTAAATCTCTTCTTTATAAATTACCCAGTCTCAGGTAACATGAAAACTAACTTCCTTCCTTCCTTCCTTCTTTTCCTTGTTTTGTTTCCCTTGTGCTAAAACTTCTATCCACGAAATCAAAGGCATAGAAAAGGGGTAAAAACATGAAGCAGGGGAGGGACAAAGAGGTAGCTGAGTGCAATAAGACAGCAAGCAGGGCATACACATCAAGAAAAGTGTGGTGTGTGTGTGTGTGTGAGAGAGAGAGAGAGAGGAGAGAGATATGGGAGGGAAAATCTAACTGGAAGAGCAGCATACTGAAAGGGGAAGTTGAGGCATGGAGAAGGAAAGGACTAGCGCTGGCAGGAGGATCCAGCTCATGGTCTGACGGCAGGAGGAACTGAGCTTGAACTCACTTCCATGCCCTCCTTCTGCCCTGCTCACCTACCTGCCCGCACTGCCGGTTCCTTCCCAGTGAGCTAAACCCAGTTAGTGTCTCCAGCCCAGGCCCAGCATGAATACAAAGGCTCACAGAGTCCTGCCTGGGCCTTTGGGACAGGGTCCCCCTGCTGACTTCTTTGGGCTGTAATGGTGGATTTGCACACCATGAACCCACTGTGCTCTGCCCTGAGGCCAATGCCCTTCCTGTCAGAGACCCTAAGTGAGGGTGAGGGATGGAGAAGGTGGAGATGGCCAAGCACAGAGAAGGGCTCTGGGAAACTGAGTTCAGGGACTGAGATGCAGGAACATACCAGGGTCAGGGGAGGCTGAGATGAATAAGGCTGGGGGGGTGTGAGGGAGGATGGATGAGAGAGAGGGGAAGAGACACACAGAGAGAGAGAGAGGGATCAGAGAGATGGAAACACACACAGGGAGGCAGAAAGAAAGAAACGTAGCACTCTAACCTGGGCGATAGAGCGAGACTCCGTCTCAAAAAAAAAAAAAAAAAAAGAAAAGAAACATAGCTACGCAGGTCGGTAGACAGATAAAAATTAGAGACAGAGTCACAAATAGAGAAGGGAAAAGGGGAACATGGTAACCATCTGGGACAGTGGTAAGGAGCAGTGGAGGAAGAGGGCACCAGAAAGGTGAGTACTATGAGAATAAATGTGTACCACCCACTTTGAACGGCCCTTGTGGAGCTTTAAAGATGTGTGCACCATACAAGGACCACTGGCCCATCCATCACTGGGGCACCCATTTCTCATTCTTTTCTCATCAGCCTCACCAAAACCCAGTGCAGATCACAGGCTGCACCCATCACTGCCTTTCTGGAGGGAACCCAGGCAGCTGCTTTGACTTCCGCCTTGAGGATGAGACACTTTACCCATTATTGCAGCATTTTGCTTTCTTATTTGACATCATGCTTCATTTCTCATCCTTCTGTTGCTGCCCTCTGGGGACCTTCAGTGCCATTAATGTCTCCAAAAGTTCTGATTAAATAGGTCAGCATTGATTTCTCTCTCTTTCTCTAACCACTTTGCATACTAGTATCACAAGCTCCTCCTTGCCTCTGGTCCTGAAATGTACAGATTCCTTCTGCAGGCCCCACATCCATCAGCAGATTCACACTCAGAGCTTGTCCCCCTCCACTAACGGTGCATTAGAGCCATGGTTGGCCTGACTGTGGGAAAACTGCTGAACTAAACCTGCCTCCTTTTAGCTGAAACCTAGGAAAGCAAAACTTCCTGAATTTTCTCAATCTATTCAGACACACGCAAGGTTTGAATGTATTTCAGTTCTTGGAAGAAGGATGGCAAAATCAATACTGAAATAACAAGAATGAAGCAATTCAGAAAATGGATGTGCATTCCATTAATCCATCATCAAACAATGGTTCTTGCTATGGTTCTTGCTATCTCCCAGGCACCACACTAGGGGAAAATATCTGAACACTAGATCAGAGGCTCTCCACTGAGGGTGGCTTTGTCCCCAGGGGACATGTAGCAAAGTCTGGAGACATTTTGATTGTCATAACACAGGGGAGGGTGACACTATTGATACCTATTGGTCAGAGGCCAGGGGTGCTGCTCAACATCATCCAATGCTCAGAATAGCCCCTGCCACGAAGAATGATCTGGCTTCAAATACTAACGGTGCTGCTGTTGAGAAACTCTGTTTTAGATGATCAGAATTCATAAGGCCAAGTGTTCCTTATTTCACTTTAATTCTACTTATAAAGCATTGAATTCAACCAGGATAAGCAGTTGTACCCCTCAGCCTCAGAATACTAGTCCACAAGGAGTTACGACCTCAGTTCTTCATGGAAGAAAATAAGAGATGGTCCAATGGAACTGTAATCAGAAGGCAAAACCCCCAGGTCTTTCTCCATTGGCACCCGCTGAGGCAGGAGCTGATTCCAGTGGAAAGAGCAGTAGTTACAGAGTGCAGGGCTTGGTGTTGAAATCCTGTCTCTGCCTCTGCTTCTGCCTCCAGGTAGTTTTGTGACCCTTTTGAGCCTTGGTGCTCTTGCCTTTAGACAAATGAATGAGGCACAATACATTCTTTTTTTTTTTCTTATATCTAAACTTTTTATTAGCAACAAGTAATATTTACCAAAAGTATTGAGTTGGATGTATTTTAGCAGTATTTTCTTTTCTTTTTTTCTTTTATTATTTTAAGTTTTAGGGTACATGTGCATATTGTGCAGGTTAGTTACATATGTATACATGTGCCATGCTGGTGTGCTGCACCCATTAACTAGTCATCTAGCATTAGGTATATCTCCCAGTGCTATCCCTCTCCCCTCCCCCCACCCCACTACAGTCCCCAGAGTGTGATGTTCCCCTTCCTGTGTCCATGTGATCTCATTGTTCAATTCCCACCTATGAGTGAGAATATGTGGTGTTTGGTTTTTTGTTCTTGTGATAGTTTACTGAGAATGATGATTTCCAATTTCATCCATGTCCCTACAAAGGACATGAACTCATCATTTTTTATGGCTGCATAGTGTTCCATGGTGTATATGTGCCACATTTTCTTAATCCAATCATTGTTGGACATTTGGGTTGGTTCCAAGTCTTTGCTATTGTGAATAATGCCACAATAAACATACGTGTGCATATGTCTTTATAGCAGCATGATTTATATTCCTTTGGGTATATACCCAGTAATGGGATGGCTGGGTCAAATGGTATTTCTAGTTCTAGGTCCCTGAGGAATCGCCACACTGACTTCCACAATGGTTGAACTAGTTTACAGTCCCACCAACAGTGTAAAAGTGTTCCTATTTCTCCACATCCTCTCCAGCACCTGTTGTTTCCTGACTTTTTAATGATTGCCATTCTAACTGGTGTGAGATGGTATCTCATTGTGGTTTTGATTTGCATTTCTCTGATGGCCAGTGATGGTGAGCATTTTTTCATGTGTTTTTGGCTGCATAAATGTCTTCTTTTGAGAAGTGTCTGTTCATGTCCTTCGCCCACTTTTTGATGGGGTTGTTTGTTTTTCTCTTGTAAATTTGTTTGAGTTCATTGTAGATTCTGGATATTAGCCCTTTGTCAGATGAGTAGGTTGCGAAAATTTTCTCCCATTTTGTAGGTTGCCTGTTCACTCTGATGGTAGTTTCTTTTGCTGTGCAGAAGCTCTTTAGTTTAATTAGATCCCATTTGTCAATTTTGGCTTTTGTTGCCTTTGCTTTTGGTGTTTTAGACATGAAGTCCTTACCCATGCTTATGTCCTGAATGGTAATGCCTAGGTTTTCTTCTAGGGTTTTTATGGTTTTAGGTCTAACGTTTAAGTCTTTAATCCATCTTGAATTGATTTTTGTATAAGGTGTAAGGAAGGGATCCAGTTTCAGCTTTCTACATATGGCTAGCCAGTTTTCCCAGCACCATTTATTAAATAGGGAATCCTTTCCCCATTGCTTGTTTTTCTCAGGTTGGTCAAAGATCAGATAGTTGTAGATAAGCGGCATTATTTCTGAGGGCTCTGTTCTGTTCCATTGATCTATATCTGTGTTTTGGTACCAGTACCATGCTGTTTTGGTTACTGTAGCCTTGTAGTATAGTTTGAAGTCAGGTAGTGTGATGCCTCCAGCTTTTTTCTTTTGGCTTAGGATTGCCTTGGCAATGCGGGCTCTTTTTTGGTTCCATATGAACTTTAAAGTAGTTTCTTCCAATTCTGTGAAGAAAGGCATTGGTAGCTTGATGGGGATGGCACTGAATCTGTAAATTACCTTGGGCAGTATGGCCATTTTCACGATATTAATTCTTCCTACCCATGAGCATAGAATGTTCTTCCATTTGTTTGTATCCTCTTTTATTTCCTTGAGCAGTGGTTTGTAGTTCTCCTTGAAGAGGTCCTTCACATCCCTTGTAAGTTGGATTCCTAGGTATTTTATTCTCTTTGAAGCAATTGTGAATGGGAGTTCACTCATGATTTGGCTCTCTGTTTGTCTGTTATTGGTGTATAAGAATGCTTGTGACTTTTGTACATTGATTTTGTATCCTGAGACTTTGCTGAAGTTGCTTATCAGCTTAAGGAGATTTTGGGCTGAGACAATGGGGTTTTCTAGATATACAATCATGTCATCTGCAAACAGGGACAATTTGACTTCCTCTTTTCCTACTTGAATACCCTTTATTTCCTTCTCCTGCCTGAATGCCCTGGCCAGAACTTCCAACACTATGTTGAATAGGAGTGGTGAGAGAGGGCATCCCTGTCTTGTGCCAGTTTTCAAGGGAATGCTTCCAGTTTTTGCCCATTCAGTATGATATTGGCTGTGGGTTTGTCATAGATAGCTCTTATTATTTTGAAATACGTCCCATCAATACCTAATTTATTAAGAGTTTTTAGCATGAAGGGTTGTTGAATTTTGTCAAAGGCCCTTTCTGCATCTATGCAGATAATCATGTGGTTTTTGTCCTTGGCTCTGTTTATATGCTGGATTACATTTATTGATATGTGTATATTGAACCAGCCTTGCATCCCAGGGATGAAGCCCACTTGATCATGGTGGATAAGCTTTTTGATGTGCTGCTGGATTCGGTTTGCCAGTATTTTATTGAGGGTTTTTGCATCAATGTTCATCAAGGATATTGGTCTAAAATTCTCTTTTTTGGTTGTGTCTCTGCCTGGCTTTGGTATCAGAATGATGCTGGCCTCATAAAATGAGTTAGGGAGGATTCCCTCTTTTTCTATTGATTGGAATAGTTTCAGAAGGAATGGTACCAGTTCCTTCTTGTACCTCTGGTAGAATTCGGCTGTGAATCCATCTGGTCCTGGACTCTTTTTGGTTGGTAAGCTATTGATTATTGCCACAATTTCAGATCCTGTTATTGGTCTATTCAGAGATTCAACTTCTTCCTGGTTTAGTCTTGGGAGAGTGTATGTGTCGAGGAATTTATCCATTTCTTCTAGATTTTCTAGTTTATTTGCGTAGAGGTGTTTGTAGTATTCTCTGATGGTAGTTTGTATTTCTGTGGGATTGGTGGTGATGTCCCCTTTATCATTTTTTATTGCATCTATTTGATTCTTCTCTCTTTTTCTCTTTATTAGTCTTGCTAGCAGTCTATCTATTTTGTTGATCCTTTCAAAAAACCAGCTCCTGGATTCATTAATTTTTTGAAGGGTTTTTTGTGTCTCTATTTCCTTCAGTTCTGCTCTGATTTTAGTTATTTCTTGCCTTCTGCTAGCTTTTGAATGTGTTTGCTCTTGCTTTTCTAGTTCTTTTAATTGTGATGTTAGGGTGTCAATTTTGGATCTTTCCTGCTTTCTCTTGTGGGCATTTAGTGCTATAAATTTCCCTGTACACACTGCTTTGAATGCGTCCCAGAGATTCTGGTATGTTGTGTCTTTGTTCTCGTTGGTTTCAAAGAACATCTTTATTTCTAGCTTCATTTCGTTATGTACCCAGTAGACATTCAGGAGCAGGTTGTTCAGTTTCCATGTAGTTGAGCGGTTTTGAGTGAGATTCTTAATCCTGAGTTCTAGTTTGATTGCACTGTGGTCTGAGAGATAGTTTGTTATAATTTCTGTTCTTTTACATTTGCTGAGGAGAGCTTTACTTCCAAGTATGTGGTCAATTTTGGAATACGTGTGGTGTGGTGCTGAAAAAAATGTGTATTCTGTTGATTTGGGGTGGAGAGTTCTGTAGATGTCTATTAGGTCCACTTGGTGCAGAGCTGAGTTCAATTCCTGGGTATCCTTGTTGACTTTCTGTCTCGTTGATCTGTCTAATGTTGACAGTGGGGTGTTAAAGTCTCCCATTATTAATGTGTGGGAGTCTAAGTCTCTTTGTAGGTCACTCAGGACTTGCTTTATGAATCTGGGTGCTCCTGTATTGGGTGCATATATATTTAGGATAGTTAGCTCTTCTTGTTGAATTGATCCCTTTACCATTATGTAATGGCCTTCTTTGTCTCTTTTGATCTTTGTTGGTTTGAAGTCTGTTTTATCCGAGACTAGGATTGCAACCCCTGCCTTTTTTTGTTTTCCATTTGCTTGGTAGATCTTCCTCCATCCTTTTATTTTGAGCCTATGTGTGTCTCTGCACGTGAGATGGGTTTCCTGAATACAGCACACTGATGGGTCTTGACTCTTTATCCAATTTGCCAGACTGTGTCTTTGAATTGGAGCATTTAGTCCATTTACATGTAAAGTTAATATTGTTATGTGTGTATTTGATCCTGTCATTATGATGTTAGCTGGTTATTTTGCTCGTTAGTTGATGCAGTTTCTTCCTAGTCTTGATGGTCTCTACATTTTGGCATGATTTTGCAGTGGCTGGTACCGGTTGTTCCTTTCCATGTTTAGTGCTTCCTTCAGGAGCTCTTTTAGGGCAGGCCTGGTAGTGACAAAATCTCTCAGCATTTGCTTGTCTGTAAAGTATTTTATTTCTCCTTCACTTATGAAGCTTAGTTTGGCTGGATATGAAATTCTGGGTTGAAAATTCTTTTCTTTAAGAATGTTGAATATTGGCCCCCACTCTCTTCTGGCTTGTAGGGTTTCTGCCGAGAGATCCACTGTTAGTCTGATGGGCTTCCCTTTGAGGGTAACCCGACCTTTCTCTCTGGCTGCCCTTAACATTTTTTCCTTCATTTCAACTTTGGTGAATCTGACAATTATGTGTCTTGGAGTTGCTCTTGTCAAGGAATATCTTTGTGGCATTCTCTGTATTTCCTGAATCTGAACTTTGGCCTGCCTTGCTAGATTGGGGAAGTTCTCCTGGATAATATCCTGCAGAGTGTTTTTCAACTTGGTTCCATTCTCCCCATCACTTTCAGGTACACCAATCAGATGTAGATTTGGTCTTTTCACATAGTCCCATATTTCTTGGAGGCTTTGCTCATTTCTTTTTATTCTTTTTTCTCTAAACTTCCCTTCTTGCTTCATTTCATTCATTTCATCTTCCATCACTGATACCCTTTCTTCCAGTTGATCGCATTGGCTCCTGAGGCTTCTGCATTCTTCACGTAGTTCTCGAGCCTTGGTTTTCAGCTCCATCAGCTCCTTTAAGCACTTCTGTGTATTAGTTATTCTAGTTATACATTCTTCTAAATTTTTTTCAAAGTTTTCAACATCTTTGCCTTTGGTTTGAATGTCCTCCTGTAGCTCAGAGTAATTTGATCGTCTGAAGCCTTCTTCTCTCAGCTCGTCATAGTCATTCTCTGTCCAGCTTTGTTCCGTTGCTGGTGAGGAACTGCATTCCTTTGGCAGAGGAGAGGTGCTCTGCTTTTTAGAGTTTCCAGTTTTTCTGTTCTGTTTTTTCCCCATCTTTGTGGTTTTATCTACTTTTGGTCTTTGATGATGGTGATGTACAGATGGGTTTTTGGTGTGGATGTCCTTTCTGTTTGTTAGTTTTCCTTCTAACAGACAGGACCCTCAGCTGCAGGTCTGTTGGAGTACCCTGCCCTGTGAGGTGTCAGTCTGCCCCTGCTGGGGGGTGCCTCCCCGTTAGGCTGCTCGGGGGTCCGGGGTCAGGGACCCACTTGAGGAGGCAGTCTGCCCTTCTCAGATGTCCAGCTGCGTACTGGGAGGACCACTGCTCTCTTCAAAGCTGTCAGACAGGGACATTTGAGTCTGCAGAGGTTACTGCTGTCTTTTTGTTTGTCTGTGCCCTGCCCCTAGAGGTGGAGCCTACAGAGGCAGGCAGGCAGGCCTCCTTGAGCTGTGGTGGGCTCCACCCAGTTCGAGCTTCCTGGCTGCTTTGTTTATCTAAGCAAGCCTGGGCAATGGGGGGCCCCCCTCCCCCAGCCTCACTGCCGCCTTGCAGTTTGATCTCAGACTGCTGTGCTAGCAATCAGCAAGACTCAGTGGGTGTGGGACCCTCCAAGCCAGGTGCGGGATATAGTCTCGTGGTGCGCCGTGTTTTAAGCTCGTCAGAAAAGCGCAGTATTCGGGTGGGAGTGACCCGATTTTCCAGGTGCCGTCCGTCACCCCTTTCTTTGACTAGGAAAGGGAACTCCCTGACCCCTGTGCTTCCCGAGTGATGCAATGCCTCGCCCTGCTTCGGCTCGCGCATGGTGTGCACACCCACTGACCTGCGCCCACTGTCTGGCACTCCCTAGTGAGATGAACCCGGTACCTCAGATGGAAATGCCGAAATCACCCGTCTTCTGCGTCGCTCAGGCTGGGAGCTGTAGACGGGAGCTGTTCCTATTCGGCCATCTTGGCTCCTCCCCCCCAGGCACAATACTTTCTAAAGGCACCTTGAAGCCTAAAAGAGCCCTTCTTATACTCTGAGGTATCTCACCACTGAAACTGGTTACATACATCTGTATTGGGAATTAATGGATAAGGGTGGAACAAATGAAATGCATTTCTGGGGGCCAGATATTCCAAAGCAGTTTGGGGTAGCCTTCTTCCTCCTCCTCTGCAATGCTTTGTTAGTTGGAGGCTGTAAACATGCCGATGCTTTCCCAAATTTGTGGGAATGAATGTGAATCACAGTTTTTGGGGCTTCAATCTCCTCTGCGGACACATAAAAAGGAACTTTCATCAATTTCTAACAAGGTTTGAGATCTATGCCTGGATAGAGCTGGATATTGATGCAAAAGTAAGAAGCAAAAGATGATTTCCTTGAGTTCCAGCAATTTCAATAAAAAACACAGAGACCAGACTTGCAACAACACTATAGTGTCAAAGAGCTGGTTCCCAAAGGGGAGCATAGAGTCCACCCATACCAGAGACAGACGAGATCTAACACTTTTTGAGTTTAATATTAATGTTGCAGCATGGTAATGAAAACTAGTAAAAGAATCTCTCTTGGTAAATGAATCTTCACTCCCAAACGGCAAGCAGGAAAAACCCTAAATAAATAATGTGAGATTGATATCAGAGGCCCATGTGCAGGGACTCGATTACAATTCTTGGCTTGTACTCAGGGGCCCTCATGCATTTTTTAAGAGCTCATCAATATTGTGATCCTTCTGCTTGCTGGTGAACTTTAAAAACTACACCGAGGTATAAAAGTAGGGCTTTGACTTTGTTGAGGCTTATGATTCTTCTCAAATAAAGTAGATCTGAATAAAAGACGGATTGGAAAATCTTCCCTGGCCTTTAGGCAAGCACAGAACTTAGCAGTGGTTTTGGAGCACCCACTATGGAACGATCCATGAGATCCAAAGATGGATACAGTTCCCACACAACAGCCACAAGGAACCACACATTGGGGACCACCTGAAGCAGAACCCTAGCTGGGGGCTTGGCCTTGTTCTGCCATGAAGCTGACAGAGCTGTTTCTACAACAATGTGCATCTTGAATCATCCCACAGAAGGAGCTGAGTTAGGCTGGAAATGAGAGAATTCCAGACAGAGGGAAGGTATATTTGTGGAGTTGTAGGAGGCCAGAAAGTTGAAGGCTGGAGACTAGGGGCAAGGTTGGAGGCTGGAGACCAGGGGTCAAGGCAAGGAAGACAAGGCTGACCCCTCAGACGCTAGTAAGTCTCTACTGTGAGAGCAGCAGGAAGCCATGGAAGGGGGTTAAACAGAGGAAGGTTGACTCTTACTGGAAATGATGGCTTGTCTCCCATTTCTGGTTTGGGATACAGGATGCCTTAGGCCCTGGTGCCAGCAGAGTGTACAGGAGGCCACATTGGAAGACGATGGTCTTTGCTGTCTTCTTACCTTTCTGTATGCTCCCTGGGCCTTCGTGTGGCTTTAGCTTCTCACAAGGCCTCACTGGGCTGTGTATGTGTGTGCGTGTTTGTGTGTGTAGGTGGTGACTGACCATCTTCTATGAGCTGGGCTTTGTATTATTTCTTGACCTTCTCAAGATTTGCCTGTCTCATGTCTTCAGAACCCATTGCCTGCAGTCTTTGATACACACTATTCTGATAAATGAATGAGACTGTGAGGAGTGTTAATTTAAGATATTAACCCTTTTATGTGTTAGGGTAATACCCAGTGTCTTTTTACTCAGGAGATATTCAATCAGTAGGGATTCAATACACGAGTGTCGTATATTTGTGTTTTAACCGGGTCTGTCTGAGATGCAGTGAACGTTCAGTTAGCCTGGGCAGCCTTCTTTCTTGTCATCTGTAGAGCTGGAATCTGGGAGCTTCCTTCTGGTCACTCAGCAGGGACAAAGAGGCCTCTACCCCCACATC